>NC_000014.9:66884440-67187470 GCF_000001405.40 Homo sapiens | reverse complement strand
AGTGTCAATGGAAAGGAGGGAGTTAACTTGGGAACTATCAGTAGAGTCCACAAAATTTGGTGACTCACTGGGCTTAGGGAGGGAAAAGGTGACTCAGAGGTTTGGGAAGCTGGGTGAATGATGGTGCCATTAACTAGGAAATAAACTACAGGCAGAGGAACAAGTGTAGGAGGCAGAAAGAATGAGGTGCTTGTTTGCAGGAACCCTTGGTTAGCATGGTGCCTTGTATTCAACTGTTTAGTAAATGATTTTTTTATTTTTTAAATTTTCAGTACCTTCCTAATGCTTTTAGAATATGTGTCATGTATCATAAGGTGTGTGTATATACTTAGCATTAACCTCAAGAGCCTGTATATTTGTGAGCACGATCTGGCTCCATCCTGGCTTCAGTTCTTTCCAACTATATTTCAGACCACTTACACCACTCCCTCATCATATTTCTGCCTCCTTCCTGACGTTGCATTCTTTAAGCCGTTTCCTGTCTGAAATGCTCATCTCCTAGCTCTTCACATGTGGGCTTATTTTCGTTTTTCAGAACCCAGCTCAGACGCACCTGTTTAGAGAGCTGTTTCTCAATCACTTGGTCATTGATTGTCTCTCGGCTGCAAATGCACCACGGCATACTCTGCATTGAATTGCTGGAGCTCTGCAAACTACATTTCTCTCTCCAGCTGGCTGTTAGGTTCAATAATAGGTTGCATTAGACCAGATGAGGTTGGAAAATAGGAGGGAAGAAGAGACTTGTGTTCCCTCTAGTTGACCTGCTGTTTCTGTCAGTGTCACCTGGGCAACAGCAACTGGTTCTAGCCTGCATTTTGGTTGTTTTTTGTTTTTGACATTCTCAGAATCAGCAACTGGGCAGCGCCCTCTCGTCAGAGGGCTGAGTCCTGGCTCCATCGGGTCTGACCTCTGAGCTTCTAAGCTGTGATTCCCCTAACCTATCCCTCCCAACTCCCCAGCCCTAGTTGTGGTAGTTGCTTCCTCTAGTTGTCTCTGATATCTGTGTTTCCTCTGTGCTTTTTTTCTAGGCCTCCAACACCTATTTAACATATTCCTGCATTGAAGTCTCTCTGTTGAAATACTTAGTGTGATTTCTGCCTCTTTTTAAATGGCTGGATCCTGACACAACCACTGAATCTGATTTAGGCCTCCACCCAGTCACTGTCTAACACGTCACTGCATGTTCTTCATATACTTTTCCTAACCTGCATTTAAATTGTTTTCCTTTCTCATAATCTCTCTCCTTCACTTAGATATCTGAGACTCTCATTCATCATTGTATTCTCGGTGCCTAACATGGAGCCTGGCATACTGTAGGAGTTTAAGAAATGCTTGTTAAATAAAATGAATTATTTCAAAAGACTGCAGGAGAAATACTGGTAGCTGGCCATACGAAATGGACAGGATTGAGCAAGTCTTTAACTTTTTGGTTCTAGGCCAAGTTATTGATGAATTCTGTAACAACATAACACAGAGAGTCAAGCATAATGCTTCTTATAAACATGTCAGAATGCAATGCATTATTTAATGTAGACCCATCATCATTGGAATACAAGACATACAGTTTATTTACTTTGAATTCTGTACTTACATAACCCCTTACCCCACTTTCTATAATTGGGAATGATAATTACTTACATTGTTAGGGTTTCATGAAGATCAAGAATTGCTAACAGGTTAGATCTACAAAATTTTGTTGATTAGCAAATAATTTTAAATATGAAAGCCATCCAAAAGAATCCACCTGCTGTAACATGCAACATCACCAAACATTTACTTGATAAACATCACCTGCTTATGTTATTTTTTTCATTCTGATATGATTTGAAACAACCAAACATAGAACCAAAAAATCTGGTTAAAAGGAACTGCTTAACTTTTTTACACAGCTATAAATGAAAACTTGAAAACATCTTCTATAGCCTTTTATGTAAGTATCAACTACTGACAAAAAAGACTTGTAACATGCTTCTTATATAATTTGTCAAATAAATGCAAATAGATTAGATGAAATTGATGTCCACCGTGCCAAGTAGAAATATTTTGTTGAACTTTAACATTTAAAGGACATTTTCCTTGTTTTCACTTAAAGTGTGTTCACATCTTCTCCCTTTTCTAACTCAGAAGGAAAAATGCCCCTTTTCTTTCCCAGCCACATTGGGCCACCAGGGTCCTTAAATCCAGCCCTTCTTTCCTCTTCTTTCTCCTTTTAGGATACTACTCTTGCATTGTTAACATGCCCACCACTGTTGTTTCTTTTTCAAAACCCACGAACAAATCTTCCCTCTACTTTGTTATCAGTTCATGCTACTATTTTGTGTCTTTCTTTTTTCACACACAAATTCTGAAGAATTCATGTTCACAGTTTCTATTTTGTAATCTGGCTTTTGCTCTTAACCCACTACTAAAATTGCACTCTTAAGAGTTCACAAATAATTGCCTTATCAATAAGGCTTTTTGAGCCTTCATCCTTCTTGGTATTTCTTTTGCATTTACAGTTGATCCTTCTTGAGACTCTCCTCCTTGATTTGTGGGACCCTGCACTCCCTTCTCTTCTCTTCTACAAACTGTTTTTCCCCTCATGCCATTCATGGCTTTTTCCTCCAACACCCCAAGGCCTGTCCTCTTCTCTTGGCAAGACTTTTCTTGATAATCTTTTCCATCCACCCTTGCATTTCAGATGCCACCTTTATGTGAATGGTTCCCAAAGTTGTATCCAGTCAGTAACTCTTCTGTGAACCCCTAACCTGTACTTTCAAATGCCAATGGGACATGTCTATCTTAGCACTCCTGGCATCTCAAACACATGCCCAAACTCAACTCCTCCATAAAACTCATTTTTTTCCTTCTTTTTATTAACGTTTAACATTTTCTCAGTCAGCCAAGAGGGGAGACTTTGAATCATCTCTCCCTTCTATAACTTTCTTTCCAAAACTTGAAATCAGACATAAAATTCTTTCCATTCTTTTCTCTCCAGAGACGTATCCATCTGTTCGGACGTTCCCATCACCATCACCATCACCTCTACCCCCTCACCTGCACAATTGCTATAACTTAACTGGTGTCTCTCACTTGTTTCTTTCCATTCTAGTTTATCTGCCTCAAGGCTGCCAAAGCGTTTTCCCTAAAAGGATATCTCTGATCATGATACGTCCCTGATCAAGAATCTCTAATGGTTTTATTGTCTCTAGAATAAATCTAGACTCTTAATTTGGTATTTAAGAACTTTAATACCAAATTAACTTTAATAACTTTAATAACTTTTGGGCCTTAAATCAGTACTTTTTCAGTCTTACAAACATCTTATACCTATTTTGTTTCTGTAACTTAAAGAAGATAGACTGTAGGCTGAGTGTGGTGGCTCATGCCTGTAACTCCAGCACTGTGGGAGGCTGAGATGGGCGGATCACTTGAGCCCAGGTGTTCAAGACCAGCCTGTCTCTGCAAAATATAAAAAAATTAGCCAGGTGTGATGGGTAGTCCCAGCTACTCAGGAGGCTGAGATGGAAGGATCACTTGAGCCCAGGGAGGTCAAGGCTGCAGTGAGTTGAGATCATGCCACTGCACTCCAGCCTGGGCGACAGAGTGAAACCCTATTAAAAAAAAAAAGAAAAGAAAAACAGAATAGATGTGGGGCACGGTGGCTCACGCCTGTAATCCCAGCGGATCACCTGAGGTCAGGAGTTTGAGACCAGCCTGGTCAAAATGGTGAAACCCCATCTACACTAAAAATAGAAAAATTAGCTGGGCCTGGCGGTGCATGCCTGTAATCCTAGCTACTTGGGAGGCTGAGGCAGGAGAATTGCTTGAACCCGGGAGGTGGAGATTGTAGTGAGCTGAGATCGCGCCACTGCACTCCAGCCTGGGTGACAAGAGCAAGACTCCACCTCAAAAAATAAAAATAAAAATAAAAATAATAAAAGAATATAGACTGTAGAGTCAGATTGCTAAACTTGAATCCTTGCTCTCTCTCCTACTATCTATGTGACCATGGACAAGTTTCTTAATCTCTGTGCCTCAGTATCCTCATCTATAATACAGGAAAAACAATGCTTATAGGGTTGTGAAAATTGAACATATGTAAAGTGTTTAGGACAATGCCTGGCCTACAGTAAGTTCTACATAATGTGTTTTATTGAGCAAATATTTACTGATGCTTGCATATATGCACATATGCCAGACTCTTCTAGGAATTTGGGGATAACTGGAGTGAACAAAATAAACAAAAATCTCTACCTTTGTGGAGCTTAATACATGACAAGCACTGCTCTCAGCACATTTCATATGTTTAATTTCCACGACACCCCTATAATTGTTGTTCTTCTTATATTACAGGTATAGAAATTATCCTATAATAAAATAATTATCATTAATTACCTGTCATTCTCTGTTTTTGGAATACTCTTTTTCCTGTGCTATCATCTTCAAAATTCTACCTTCCTTCAAGACCCAATAGCATCAGCTGGGCATGGTGTCTCACAACTGTAATTCCAGCACTTTCGGAGTCTGATGCAGGAGGATCACTTGAGGCCAGGAGTTCGAGGCTGTAGTGCACTAGGACCATGCTACTGCACTCTATCCTGAGCAGTAGAGCAAGACTGTGCCTCTACAAAAAAAAAAAAAAAAAAAGACCCACTAACATGCCATCTTACTCCTTGAAATCTCATCTGAATTCTTCCAACCCTTAAAATCTGTATTATGGCATTTATCACATTCTATACACTCTACTATATATTATCAAATATATTAAATATCGTGGTTATTTGCTTGCATTTTGTTATCTCCCTAATGAAGTGTAAGGTCAGGTGCTCTGCCCTATTCATGTTTGTAAATAGTAGCATGATATACTTTGTACCCAAGCACATAATAGATGCTTAACAAATATTTCTTGAATGAATGTACATAAAAGGATTATTTGCATACTCTTTCATTTGACCTCTATTAACTAACCTTATCTTCTTCAACTGTAAATATGAATGAAAATATCACATATCAGTATCAAATATTTGTTTACTATTTTGCCTTTATTTACCATCCCTTGACATTTTGTTTACTAGTAGGCCAATTTTTGTAGTTTGCTTTCCTGAGCACATTTTACAGTATATTTAACATCTTCCTGTTACCACCATTTGAAAAGTGCCCCTAAGTTTTTATTAAAGGATCCATTGTGGATACAGTATATTTTACCTATTGTGTTTTCTATGGTCAGCACAGATATTTTTTGCCATTTCTCACTTCCTTTCTAACACGGTTAAAAATTTCGAGGCGCTCATCTGTAATTTTTTGTTTCATTGCTTATTTTTTTCTCCATTTCAAAGAACTGTAGATGTTTGAAATTGGATTTTATGGCGTCTAAAATAAGAATTATTTTTTTTCTAAGTCATTAGTACCCTTCCTCTAAATTTGCTTGCTATTCTCCAGCTATGACTGGAAAGACGAGACCAACTGCAGGTTCTCCTTCCTTCTCATCTGTATTTTCACACACTACAGATCATAATGCTATGATCACATTTTTCCCCACATATTGTAGTAAGATACAGAGTTACAATATACCATATTTTAAATATTCTTGGTAGGCCATCTTAACCATTTCTTTTATTCAGGCAGAACCCTATCAGAATGGCATGACAATCTTCTCTCTTTAAATAACGAGGCCAACACATTACATTTTTAAATAATGATCAAGGAATTTTTTTATTCATTAAGTTTCAGTATCATTACAGAAAATGTTATGGTACAGAATTGTTTAACATTATTTTGTCTTTGCTCTTGATTTCCACATGAATGCTGGTAACACTAATATCTGTACAAGATCAGTCTTTGATTTTATTTTTTTGTTCTGTACAATTTTAAATGTATTGGTTAAAAAGGCTGTCAGCACTTAAGGAAGCATTTTTTCTTCAGTTTGTTTCTTCAAATAAAAGGTGTCCAGTTACTGCCCAAGAGTACTGTGCCGTGAGGCTATTGGGGCGAGAAACCTCCCTGGATGCTCTGCAGGGGATGGTTCTTGAGGCAAGGCAGAGCCTCCACCCAGTCAGTCTTCTTTTGGCACTGTGCACATAAACACGAGATACATGAGAAAGAACAAGCAAAAGCTCTCTGTAAAGCAGTTATGAAGCATACTAAGAAGGGAAATCCAAGTGTTGCCTACGCTAGTATAAATAAGCAGACAGCCTTGATTTAAGAGCATAAGTAGTTGTATTTTAAAGATGAGAAAAACACAAGTTCTGCAGGCACCTACCGCTGTCTACTAAAAGCTATCGCTATCAGACCTAGCATTGAACACACAAAGCAATTTGCAAGAAAGGAAAAATTTGCCTTGATATAATCAGAACAGAATTTTCTGTTAAGATTTATTTTTAGGTGTTTTTTTCTTTAAAAGATATTTAAATTCATTTGAAATATAGTTCAAGATGTTGACTATACAGATCAACTTTTATCCAAATCGGGAAAACTAGCTGTGCCGTTGCATATTACAGGATACAGTCAATGATATGTGGACATGCATCAAAGCTTTCTCCTGCTGGTGACCATCATAGCCGTCCAATGACCATGACATCCACCACCTCGCCTTTGTGGAGCTCCACGTACTGTTCTGTCTTTGGAGGTAGCATCAACAATCCATTGGCACTGCGCATGCTCATCAGACGGCTGCTCATTTGATTACCTAGAAAGAAATACTCTTATTACAGCAGCATAAGCATCATGGCGTATACAGTTGGGCCCTTGTAGACCTTTTCAAAATGTAAACAGACAGAAATGCGGGTCTTCAAGAGGAGAAGGGATGATCAAACTTTCCAGTACCTTTTTCAGGTGGCCATGCTATTATATCCTACCACCTTCTCATTCAAACTTTAAAAATAAACATTAGAAATTCTTGCTTGAAAGAGTAAAACCAGGATTTTATAGCATTATGCAAAATGCCATAGAATTTCTCAATTCAGGCTGAAATGTTATGCGTGTCTGAAAAGGGAGGCTTTAAAAAAAGTATTAAAATAATAATGACAATAATGGTAGCAGCTACCATTTCTTTACTGAGTGCCAAAGTACTAGGCACTTTACTTAAACACCTTATTTGATTCTCACAAGACTCAAAAAATTTTTAGGTAACTTGCCTAGGGTCCTGCTAAGTAGGTTGGTGGCCAGTTTGAATGCAGTTCTCTCTGATGGCAAAGCCCATGAACTTAGTCGCTGTTAGTTGACGTTTTCACTTGGTAGGATCTTTGTTTAAAGAGTACTACAACTTTTCTGGAGTCACATCAAAAATTAGGCAAAATATGAGTAGGGAAGTTGGGAATAACAGTTTAAAGTCTAGTGAAGGTTACTGTAGAACTCTGCATTATCAATATTGATTTCTCTGCCCTTCAAATTTACCAATAACTAGCGTATGGTAGAGGCTACAGAGAATCAAATTATAAATTGGGCTTTCATCTCACATTTCAAGATGGTATAGCTAGAATCTCCTCCTTTTCCTACAAAGTTATACTCAGAACTTATTGGTTGAACAAACATATCAAATCTTCTGTAATTCCAGATTTATTACAGGACATTAGTCAATGATATGTGGACATTCTAAATGTTTATCTAGAAAATATGGCTCAATAAAATAAGTAAACTTCTAATAGTTATTTTTTAACTTTTGCTATACTGTTTAGGAATAACTTAACTCATCTAACTTTTCAAAAAGAAAAATGTATAATAATTACAAAATCAGTCATAACCAAGGAAGATTATATATAAGTTTGTGTTTTAACAGGATAGGTGTCTAGGAATATCTGTAGATGTGAATGACTAACCTGTACTCTGTGCCCAAGGTAGTGGTTCTTGGTGATGCCAAGTTAGTATACACCGATGGTATTCTGGACGAGGATCAAGTTTTACATCACATGATAACTACAGAATAAAGTAGAAAAGAAAACAAACTTGGTCACCTGATCATCTCACAAAAATACAAGATAGTAGGGGTTGTGCAAAGAATACAGTGGACATGGAGACTAACCTTGGTATTCTGTCGTTGCTGTCACTACCACCTTATGTTCTTTTTCTTTTTAAATAAAATTTAATTAAAAATGTATTTTTTCTTTTGACACAAGGTCTCACTCTGTTACCCAGGCTGGAGTGCAGTGGCATGATCATAGCTCACTGCAGCCTTGACCTCCTGGGCTCCAGTGATCCTCCTGCCTTGGCCTCCTGAGTAGCTGGGACCACATGCATGTGCCACCATACCTGAATAATTTTTATTTTTATTTTTAGAGATGGCATCTTGCTATGTTGCTCAGGCTGGTCTTGAACTCCTGGGCTCAAGCGATCCTGCCACCTGGGCCTCCCAGAGTGCTGGAATCATAGGCATGAGCCACCATGCCTGGCCACCTTATATTCTTAATACAGGAAGTCTAGGGGTTGGGTTGCTCTGGTGAAAAGAGAAAAGAAGGCTAAGAAGCTGGAGTTCAGCTTTTGTCTGTCTGGGAAAGGCTTTATTTCTCCCTCATTCCTGAAGGATAGCTTTGCTGCATATAGTATTTCTGGTTGGCATTTTTTTTTTCTTTCAGCACTTTACATACATCATTCCCTTCCCTTCTGGCCTTAAGGTTTCTGCAGATAAATCTACTGCTAGTCTAATGTGGACTTCCTTGTATGTGACTTGATGCTTTTCTTTTGCTGTTATTATAATTCTTTGTCTTTAACTTTTGACAAATTGGGAAGGATCTTTTGGGTTGAATACATTTGGAGACCTTTGAACTTCCTGGATCTGGATGTCTATATCTCTCAACAGATTTGGGAAGTTTTTCAGCTAGTATTTCATTAAATAAATTTCCTATCCTCTTTCCCTTCTCTTCTTCTTCTGGACTCTGATGATAAAAATATTTGTTGATTCAAATTCAGGAAATACAGAGAACACCACAAGGATATTCCTCCAGAAGAGCAACCCCAAGGCACATAATCGTCAGATTCACCAAGGTTGAAATGGAGGAAAAAATGTTAAAGGCAGCCAGAGAGAAAGGTCGGATTACCCACAAAGGGAAGCCCATCAAAATAACAGTGGATCTCTCAGCAGAAACCCTACAAGCCAGGAGACAGTGGGGGCCAATAATCAACATTCTTAAAGAAAAGAATTTTCAACCCAGAATTTCATATCCAGCCAAACTAAGCTTCATAAATGAAGGAGAAATAAAATCCTTTACAGACAAGCAAATGCTGGGAGCCTTGTCATCACCAGGCCTGCCTTACAAGAACTCCTGAAGGAAGCACTAAACATGGAAAGGAATAATTGGTACCTGCCACTGCAAAAATATGCCAAATTGTAAAGATCATTGATGCTATGAGGAAACTGCATCAACTAATGGGCAAAATAACCAGCTAGCATCATAATGACAGGATCAAATTCACACATAACAATATTAACCTTAAATATAAATGGGCTAAATGCCCCAATTAAAAGATACAGACTGGCAAATTGGACAGTCAAGACCCATCGGTGTGCTGTATTCAGGAGACCCATCTCACATGCAAAGACACAAATAGGCTCAAAATAAACATTTGGAGGAAGATCTAACAAGCAAATGGAAAGCAAAAAACAGCAGGGGTTGCAATCCTAGTCTCTGATAACCAACAAGGATCAAAAGAGACAAAGAAGGCCATTACTTAATGGTAAAGGGATCAATTCAACAAGAAGAGCTAACTATCCTAAATATATATGCACCCAATACAGGAGCCCCCAGATTCATAAAGCAAGCTCTTAGAGACCTACAAAGAGACTTAGACTCCCACACAATAATAATGGGAGACTTTAACACCCCACTGTCAATATTAGACAGATCAACAAGACAGAAAAGTAACAAGGATATCCAGGACTTGAACTCAGCTTTGGACCAAGCAGACCTAATAGACATCTACAGAACTCTCCACCCCAAATCAACAGAATGTACATTCTTCTCAGCAACACATCGCACTGATTCTAAAATTGACCACATAATTGGAAGTAAAACACTCCTCAGCAAATGCAAAAGAACAGAAATCACAACAAACTGTCTCTCAGATCACAGTGCAATCAAATTAGAACTCAGGATTAAGAAACTTACTCAAAACCACACAACTACATGGAAACTGAACAACCTGCTCCTGAATGACTACTGGGTAAATAATGAAATGAAGGCAGAAATAAAGATGTTCTTTGAAACCAATGAGAACAAAGACACGACATACCAGAATCTTTGGGACACGTTTAAAGCAATGTGTAGAGGGAAATTTATAGCACTAAATGCCCACAAGAAAAAGCAGGAAAGATCTAAAATCGACATCCTAACATCACAGTTTAAAGAACTAGAGGAGTAAGAGGAAATAAATTCAAAAGCTAGAAGAAGGCAAGAAATAACTAAGATCAGAGCAGAACTGATGGAGATAGAGACACAAAAAACCCTTCAAAAAAATCAGTGAATCCAGGAGCTGGTTTTTTGAAAAGGTCAACAAAATAGATAGACTCTTAGCAAGACTAACAAAGAAGAAAAGAGAGAAGAATCAAACAGATGCAATAAAAAATGATAAAGGGGATATCACCACTGATCCCACAGAAATACAAACTACCATCAGAGAATACTATAAATACCTCTATGCAAATAAACTAGAAAATGTAGAAGAAATGGATAAATTCCTGGACACATACACCCTCCCAAGACTAAACCAGGAAGAAGTCGAATCTCTGAATAGACCAGTAACAGACTTTGAAATTGGGGCAATAATTAATAGCCTACCAACCAAAAAAAGTCCAGGACCAGAAGGACTCACAGCCGAATTCTATGAGAAGTACAAAGAGGAGCTGGTACCATTCCTTCTGAAACTATTCCAAGGAACAGAAAAAGAGGTAATCCTCCCTAACTCATTTTATGAGGCCAGCATCATCCTGATACCAAAGCCTGGCAGAGACACAACAAAAAAAGAGAATTTTAGGCCAATATCCTGATGAACATTGATGCAAAAATCCTCAATAAAATACTGGCAAGCCGAATCCAGCAGCACATCTAAAAGCTTATCCACCACGATCAAGTGGGCTTCATCCCTGGGATGCAAGGCTGGTTCAACATATGCAAATCAATAGACGTAATCCATCACATAAACAGAACCAACGACAAAAACCACATGATTATCTCAATACATGCAGAAAAGGCCTTCGACAAAACTCAACAGCCCTTCATGCTAAAAACTCTCAATAAACTAGGTATTGATGGAATGTATCTCAAAATAATAGGAGCTATTTATGACAAACCCACAGCCAATATCATACTGAGTGGGCAAAAACTGGAAGCATTCCCTTTGAAAACCGGTGCAAGACAAGGATGCCCTCTCTCACCATTCCTATTCAACATAGTATTGGAAGTTCTGGCCAGGGCAATCAGGCAAGAGAAAGCAATAAAGGGTATTCAAATAGGAAAAGAGGAAGTCAAATTGTCTCTGTTTGAAGATGACATGATTGTATATTTAGAAAACCCCACTGTCTCAGCCCAAAACCTCCTTAAGCTGATAAGCAACTTCAGCAGTCTCAGGATACAAAATCAATGTGCAAAAATCACAAGCATTCGTATACACCAATAACACACAAACAGAGAGCCAAATCACGAGTGAACTCCCATTCACAATTGATACAAATAGAATAAAATACCTAGGAATCCAACTTACAAGGGATGTGAAGGACCTCTTCAAAGAGAACTATAAACCACTGCTCAACCAAATAAAAGAGAACACAAACAAATGGAAGAACATTCCATGCTCATGGATAGGAAGAATCAATATCATGAAAATGGCCATACTGCCCAAAGTAATTTATAGACTCAATGCTATCCCCATAAAGCTACCACTGACTTTCTTCACAAAATTGGAAAAAACTACTTTAAAGTTCATATGGAACCAAAAAAGAGCCCTCAGTGCCAAGACAATCCTAAGCAAAAACAACAAAGCTGGAGGCATCACGCTACCTGACTGCAAACTATACTACAATGCTATAGTAACCAAAACAGCATGATACTGGTACCAAAACAGATATATAGACCAATGGAACAAAACAGAGGCCTCAGAAATAATACCACACATCTACAACCATCTGATCTTTGACAAACCTGACAAAAACAAGCAACAGGGAAAGGATTCCCTATTTATTAAATGGTGCTGGGAAAACTGGCTAGCCATAAGTAGAAAGCTGAAACTGGATCCCTTCCTTACACCTTATACAAAAATTAATTCAAGATGGATTAAAGACTTACATGTTAGACCTAAAACCAGAAAAACCCTAGAAGAAAACCTAGACAATACCATTCAGGACATAGGCATGGGCAAGGACTTCATGACTAAAACACCAAAAGCAATGGCAACAAAAGTCAAAATTGACAAATGGGATCTAATTAAACTAAAGAGCTTCTACACAGCAAAAGAAACTACCATCAGAGTGAACAAGCAACCTACAGAATGGAAAAAATTTTTTACAATCTACCCATCTGACAAAGGGCTAATATCCAGAATCTACAAAGAACTTAAACAAATTTCCAAGAAAAAAACAACCCCATCAAAAAGTGGGCAAAGGATATGAACAGACACTTCTCAAAAGAAGGTATTTATTACAGCCAATAGACATATGAAAAAATGCTCACCATGACTGGTCATTAGAGAAGTGCAAATCAAAACCACAATGAGATATCACCTCATGGCAGTTAGAATGGTGATCATAAAAAGTCAGGAAACAACAGATGCTGGAGAGGATGTGGAGAAATAGGAACACTTTTACACTGTTGGTGGGAGTGTAAATTAGTTCAACCATTGTGGAAGACAGTGTGGAGATTCCTCAAGGATCTAGAACTAGAAATACCATTTGACCCAGCCATCCCATTACTGGGTATATACCCAAAGGATTATAGATTATTCTACTATAAAGACACATGCACATGTATGTTTATCGCGACACTATTCACAGCAGCAAAGACTTGGAACCAACCCAAATGTCCATCAATAATAGACTGGATAAAGAAAATGTGGCACATATACACCATGGAATACTATGCAGCCATAAAAATGGATGAGTTCATGTCCTTTGCATGGACATGGATTAAGCTGGAAACCATCATTCTCAGCAAACTAGCACAAGGACAGAAAACCAAACACCGTGTGTTCTCACTCATAAGTGGGAGTTGAACAATGAGAACACACGGACACAGGGAGGGGAACATCACACACTGGGGCCTGTCGGGGGGTTGTGGGGTGGGGGGCTGGGGGAGGAATAGCATTAGGAAAAATACCCAATGTAAATGACGAGTTGATGGGTGCAGGAAACCAACATGGCACATGTATACCTATGTAACAAACCTGCACGTTGTGCACATGTACCCCAGAAGTTAAAGTATAATAAAAAAATTTGTTGACTTAATGATGGCTCGTAAGTCTTACAGGCCTTCTTCATTCTTTTTCATTGTTATTTCTTTTTTTCCCCTTCAGAGTGGGTAATTTCAAATGACCTATCTTCAAGTTCAGAAAGTCTTCGGCCTGACAAAGTCTGTTATTGAAGCTCTCTATTGCATTTTTATTTCATTTATTGAATTCTTCAACTGTAGGATTTCTGTTTTTTTTTATGATTCCTAACTCTGCTGAATTTCTCATTTATATCATAAATTGTTTTCCTGATTCTGTTGACTTGTCTGTATATATTTTTTATTATATCTCATTGAATTTCCTTCAGATAATTACTTTGCATTTATTTTCCAGCAGGTCATTGATTTTCTTTTCATTTGGGTCTGTTACTAGAGACCCATTATGTTCCTTTGGCGGTGTTATATTTGCTTGCTTTTTTGTGTTTCTTGTAAGCCTGCATGAATCTGTGCACCTGGTAGAACTATTCTTTCTTCCAATCTTTCTGGTTTCCATAGAAAAAGTCTTTCATTTGCAGTTGGGTTTTAGTGTGCCAGCTGGGAAGGGTGTGGTGACTTTTTCAATAGGTATAGTGGTATAGTTTCCATGCAGCATCTTCAGGTGCTTTCAGGGCGAGCAGTAACTGTGGGTGCCTCAGTTACGTAGTCCACAGAAGTTTGTGGAAGTGGTGGTGGTGGTGGCATAGTTTGCTAATATTCAGTGTTAAGGGCTTTTAGTGTCTTCCTTATTCTTATTTTCTCCACAATGGGAAGATATAGCCTAGGGAGATCCCTCTTTGTGTCAAATCTGACATGGCCTTCAAGAAGGCCTACTGCAGCACCGGGTTCCTGGTACAGGTGCTTAGAGTGGATGTGGGGCCAGGGTCCTAGGCTAAGGGTCTTGTGAACCCATTGTGGCACCTGGGTCTTGGGGTGCTTGTTTTTTTCCTGTGGTAGTTTTGAGTGTAGGTTGTCCACAGAGCCAGGGTCTGTGACTTTGGGTACCCCTTAGCAGCTTGGGTTCAGGTGGCTGAGTTGTAGCTATGATTCTGCCCCTGGCGGGCAGGGCACAGCTCTGGCCTGACTCCAGAGAAGAAGGGTTGCCCCTGGACGTTTGGGGCTGGGGAGTAGGCTATTGTTGCTATCTAGGAACCTGAGTCAATAGGGCTTAGTGGCAACCTAGGTCCCAGGGGATGAGGCAGCATGTAGTAGTGACTGCAGACCCTGTGCTGGTGGGGCTTGGTAGAATCCCAGACTTTGTGCAGCCAGGTGCAGCAGCAATAAGTAATCCAGACTGGTGGAGCACTGCTGTCATTTGGGCCCTGGGGTGGGGGCAATAAATAGCATAGCAATGACTGCACTTCCTAGGAAGAGGTGTTTCTCAGCTGCTCAGACACTAGGGGGGTAGTCTAGCTTCAGGAAAGGAGAGTAGGAAGTTGTTTGACCTGTAGGATGAGGTGTCTCAGCTCAGCCACTGCTCTGTTTCCCTGGGTTGTGGGTACTACATCGGCATAGTTCTGGATGCCCAGCTGCTCAGTTCAGCCAGGGCACCTAGGGACTATGTGCTGCTTCAGCTCAGGCCCTGGGGACATGGCTGTTCTGGGTGGCTCTGGCACTTTTTCTCTGGGATAGAGGGTGCTGCTTTAGCTTAGGTACTAGAGTGCATGATTACTTTGGGCAGCAAAAGCATCATTTCCTGGGATGCTGGGTGCTGGCTCAACTTAGGCTAGTACATGACTGAACTTAGGGATGCATGACTGCTCTGAGCAGCCAAGATACTGTTTTCCTAGGAGGCCGTATATGGCTTTAGCTCTGGCTGAGGGGGATGCGGCGGGCGGCGGGCTGGGTGGAGTAGCTCCACCTCTATTTGGCTCCACTGGGAAAGTTGTAACAGCTGCTTGCATCTCAGCCTGTGGATGTTAGGCCACAGTGTTGGGGTAGCATTGGGGATGAAGGGGTGCTGTGACTACTTGCTCCCAGAGCAAGAAAAACTCTAGCCATAGTTCCAATTCCAACATGGTGTAGTGCAGTAGTTGCACAGGCCACAGAGGTTGGAGCATAGCGTTGACTCCTTTACTGGGGGGAGCATAGCTCTGTGGACTCCAGGCAGTTCCTTCAGCTGGGCTTCATGCTTGTGAGGGCTGCAGGGTTTCCCATTGTGAGGTCTGTAGGTGTCCAAAGTGTTGATGGGGGTTGCTGGGATCCTCTGCTTAATTCCTTGCCAAGGGAGTTCTTCCTGGTTCCCAGCTGATCCAGCTGGGGGATGCGATGGTGGAGGCCTGGTGTTTCCTTCTGTTCTCGATGTGACCATCCTGAGTTTCTGTGCTCACCAGGGTTTCTGTTACTCCACGGATACACTCTGCTGCTCTTCTTCAGTTTTTTTTCATTAAAATGCAGTTATTTATTCATTGTTCTGGCTGTGTTTGTGAGGGGGGGATGGGCATGAGGGACTTATAGTTGGCTATCCTCTAGAACATGCTTTCCCCCTTTTCTGTCTCTTAATCACTGCTTGAGATAAGTTGTTAATACTAATGGGAGTTACTCCAGGTATGTTTCTAGCGAAAAAAGCTGAGAACAAGGGTGGTAGAGTGCTTTAATGGGATATTAAGGAAACACATGATAGAAGGTCCTTGCATGGAAACACGGGGTCAATAATTCTATTTGATGAATTGCTAGGATTGTGTTCCTTTCTTTTTCTTTTTCTTTTTTTTTTTCTTTACCAGATGCTTTGGAAGTGTTTCTTATTGTGTACTGAAAATGAGAAGATTTTCACCTCCAACCATAAGTGACCAAGGAAATAAGGGAAATGTTTGTTCTAAAATGATGCTCTTCTGAATGCTTTGATATGAAAGGATGACATTTTATTTTCATTTTTTTTTTACATTTTCTTTTTGTTAATTTTTTTAGAGGCAGGGTGTTGCTATGTTGCCCAGGCTGGTCTCAAACACTTGGCCTCATGCAATCCTCCTGCCTGAGCCTCCTGAGGAGCAGGGATTACAGGCGAGTGCCACTGTGCCTAGCAAGGATGACATTTTCTGCACTGACACACAGAATGGCCACATCAGAGTCCAACAGTATGATTTACCAACAGCAGCATTTAACACTGACTCCCACTTCCTGAAAGCAGCAAGCATTGGTAAAGGCAATGACTGTGGCATCTATTCTGAAGAACAGTAATAAGTGGTGTGTGTAAGCTGCATCTTTTATGGTCAGAAAGGAGAGATAAGACTTATCACGTTTCAAGGAAGTATATGTTTATGCTTTAAAGTGGCAGTTGTGTCAGTACTGATGTGGGGATGATTTGGAAAGCTAAGAAACAAAAGAAACAAATAGCCAAGCATACTGATGACCCATACTGGCAGTCCCAGTGACACTGCTGTGGGAGAAAGGCATTTGACTGATTTTTTGACCACTTCTTAACATCCTTTGCTGACAGGAAATGGACACCATCAGGAACAACATATCAAGCATCAGTCTGATTACAAAGTACCATCTCATCTTTGTTGTCAGAATAGATGGCTGCTATGTCTGTTTTAAAGAAGAGATGGTGGATGTTACAATGAGAAATAAGTGAAAGAATTCATAAGAGATCTGCAAAGTCAAAGGGAAGCCTTCTTTCTCTCTCTCTTATAATAATGTGAATTTTTATTTCCTTAATTTAGTAAATATGAAGATAGTAAATTCAGTACTATTGGTTTGACTGTCTAAATCTAAGCTTTATGACTCTGACTTCTGACTTGATCAGAATACTTTTTGTTCATGGATGGTTTTTATTTCTTTTTCCACTTAATTTCAAATTTGATTACCACTGTGATTAATGAAAAAAACTCTAGTTAAATTTTTCATGAAATTTTAAGAAAAGGAGATTGTTTCATATCCTAGTCCACAAAGTTCTTAGCATTTAAACAGTCAATGTTAAGACTATTGAAAGCCTAGATTTTTTTAATGTTTTTATCCTATGTATTCTCAGTGTAATTTTTTAAAATATTTTATCTTTTTATTTTTATTTTGAGATGAAGTTTTGCTCTTGTTTCCCAGGCTGAAGTGCAATGGCATAATCTCGGCTCACTGCAACCTCCGCCTCCCGGGTTCAAGCGATTCTCCTGCCTCAGCCTCCTGAATAGCCGGGATTACAGGCACCCACTACCACGCCCAGCTAATTTTTTCTATTTTTAGTAGAGACAGGGTTTCACCACGTTGGCCAGGCTGGTCTTGAACTCCTGACCTCAGGTGATCCACCTGCCTCGGCCTCCCGAAGTGCTGGCATTACAGGCGCCAGCCATTGAGCCTGGCCTAATATTTTATCTTTTATGTTTTTTGCTCTTCCTGTCAACTAATCATAGCATTCTGCCATATTTGAATTTACTTCGGAACACTTGGAAAGTAATGGTTTGGTACTGTAGTTTATACTGCTAAGAACATTATTCATTAGTCACAGAGAAAGTGTATAACATAATTAGTTGAGTAGTAGTAAATCACATTGAAGTTAGTGTTGGTGGAGAAGGAGACCTAATTTCCAGGTGACTTTTACCATGGTATATTTCTCAGCCTTAGCAGTTCTCTTCTAAACAATATGGTTACCCTTTCCCTGAATCACCAGGGTCTCTTTGTAGTCCTTTGTCTTCTTCTGAATTGTTTAAAATTTATCGTTGAAGTCACAGAAAAAGTGAGCAGGTTAATTGCTGTCCCTCTGAGTTTGCATGGGGAAAAGAAAATTCTCCCTTGTTCCAGACAGGTCTAGTGTTAGGGTAGAGCCAGATATATCCTATTGACTGTTTTGTCCTTAAGTATCACTCAAGTTTTTAAGCCGTGCTCTCTGGACTCGTATATGGACTTCTATCTGGAGAAAATGATTCACTTTAGAAGTCATGAAGTAGGAGAATTAAAGGGACCCTTTCTCCTACATTTTCTAGTACACAGGGGGAGAATATAATCACATTTTCCATCAAAACTAATAGAAAACTCTAGATGTTTATTTTGGACAGTTAGGAAATCATATCCCTAACTGTTACCAGGCTTCCATTTTGGTTTCTGGTCATTAGAAAGCATTACCCTTGCTTTGATGATGGTTGGCCGAGGATCCAAGATGCCCTGCATTTTCCTCAGTGCAGGCACAACAAAGAGATTGCAGGTGACCACAGCCGATACAGGATTCCCTGAAAGTCAACCAAGCAGTTATTTATAATACACTGTGTAACAATTTGCCAAATAATTATGTCTGTCTATATCTTTGGGTATCAGAATGTGACGGAAGTGACTAGGCACTATTTTTCCTCTTCTGAATCACCTTGAATCCAACCAGAACAGAGGTATAGTCAACTAAATGCCACAGGGGGTGTAAACATTTGCGTCTTTCAGTAAAATGGAGAATTCTGCTGCCCAGAAGCTGTTTAACGCCATTTATTTCCGCTTTCCTGAGAGCCAGCTGAAAGCCATTACTAATCTTATTATCAAGATTACTCATTACTAATCTTGTTTTAAAGCCGTTTACAAGTTTTATATATCTATTTGCTATTTTTTAAGCATTTAAAAATTACTATAGTATTACAAGCTTGGTTCCCAAACTGAGAAAACATAGATAAGCATAAGGAAACTTATTTATAATCTTCTCTACCTGGATATTTCTTTAAATTAAAAAAAAACACCAAATGATTTAAGAAGTGTTTTAAGGACCTGAAGATGAATACTGTTATGGATTGAATTCATATGATAAAGCTATAACTCCAATATGATTGACTATATTTGGAGATAGGGCCTTTAAGGAGGTAATTAAGGTAAATAAGGTCATAAAGATGTGGCCGTAATCCAATAGGACTGGTGCCCTTATAAAAAGAGGAAGAGACACCAGGAGTCTGCACACATACAGGAAAGATCATGTGAAGACACAGTGAAAAGGTTGCTGTCTACAAGCCAGGGAGAGAGGCCTCACCAGAAGCCAACCTTGCTGGCACCTTGATTTTGGACTTCCAGCTTCCAGAACTGTAAGAAAATACATTTCTGTTGTTTCAGCTACCCAGTCTATGGTATTCTGTCATGGCAGCCTGAGCAGACTAATACAAATACCACATTCTTTTAAAGTTATGAGAAGAATTTGAGGAATTCCACTATATCACTCCAAGAAGAAATCTAGGTGTGTCGTACACTTCAAAGGAGGAAGGGTGGGCTGTGAAGAAGCAAACAACCACTGGGCTGTAAATAACAGATTTGATTTCTTGTGTGGCATTATTATCTAACCAAGCTGTCTGATCTTGGCAAGTTCCAAAGTTTTTTGAGTCTAACTTTACTCATCTATGAAATGAAAGGTTTGGACTACATGATTCTCAAGATCTCTTCTGGTTCTAAAATTTCAGTTGTTTTAATACTTTTATACAGTTCTATGTAAGCATGAATGTATAACCTGGAGTGGGGAATGGGCTACTAGATTTTTAGGTTCCCTTGGCATGGCTAAACACTGCTTATTGCATCATCAAGTCAAAAGGCAATGGTCAGTTTAGCCTATTATTAGCTATAATCATACCTCCAATTCTCTTCTACCTGCAAAAGTGCTTAAGAATAGATTTTTTAAGGTGCAAAAAGTGACAAGTGATACTAATAGTTTCGATGGAAAAATGAGTTGCCCACAGAATAGCAGACTCTTAAAAAGAATCAATTACTTTCCCTTGCTTCAAAATACAAGTAGATAGAATATTTTTTTCTGGAAAAGCAAAAAAACCCCAAACCAACAAATAAAAAAGCCATTGTAAATCAAGGATTATAAAATCCATGTAATACTACCACTTTATAACATTACTGTATAAAAAATGAAGTGCTCTAATTATTTTAGAGGCAGGGTCTTGCTATGTACGAAAAAGGACTGGAAGGACTGATATAAAAAACTTGTAATAGTGGTTTATCCATATGTGGGTGTTGGGGGATTATGGTTAACACTTTTTTATGCTTATCTATATTTTCTGATTTTTACAATAGTGAGCATGTGTCACTCTAGCAATGTTAAAAATGTCCAAAAAAACAAGTAAATATACAAAACTTTGATTTAAAACTTGTCGAGATTAGGGATGGCTTTAAACGCATGGCCTACAGGAAAGCAGAAATACACTTTTGAAATTGAAAATCCTTGTAAAGCTGCGCATGGTGGCTCATGCCTGTAATCCCAAAACTTTGGGACGCTGAGACAGGTGGATGGCTTGAGCTCAGAAGTTGAGACCAGCCCGGGCAACATGGTGAAACCCCGTCTCTACAAAAAATACAAAAATTAGCCAGGGGTGGTAGCAAGCGCCTATAGTCCCAGCTACCTGGGAGGCTGAGGTGGGAGAACGGCTTGAGCCTAGGAGGCAGAGGTTGCAGTGAGCTGAGATCGCGCTGCTGCACTCCAGCCTGGGCGACAGAGCCAGACCTTGTCTCAAAAACAAACAAACAAACAAACAAAAAACACAAAACACAAAAAACAAACAAAACCAATAACAACAAAAACAAGAAAGAAAATCCTTGTAAATGGAACCACTTTGCACATTCTACAATCTGAACATGTGAGTTTCTGCTGCCCTCTGTTGGTTCACTCAGGCTGAGCAGATAAGGTTTCAAATTAAAAGTAGGAATTTGAAAACAGGTTTTAATTTTATAACATCTTTGGCATAATGGTGAAATAGGCTCCCACAGTAACATTCTTTGTTATAATATCACTGATGGTCTGTAGGTTAAGTCATATCTTCCGTAGACAAAAGAGGCTCTTCCAGGCTAAATGAAGCTAGGAAAAGGAGCACATTTCTTTATACAATGGCTATCAGAGCATCCAAGGAATTATGAAAGGTCCTAAGGCGTTTCATGTTACAGATACATTCTGAGGACTATTTTACTTAAATGTTCTCTCTCTGAAAATTTTCTACATGATAGAAATCTAATCTCTTTTATGCTTATAGATAGGGGCTTAAAATGTTTTCAAAGTTTAACATTTTTCTGCCTGCTTCCATTTCTTTACATTTCCATTTTGAGATATACTTGACCTAAAAAACAAACAAAGATCCAAAAGCCATGAGATTTGTAAATCTTAAAGAAATAGGTTATTTTCTAAAGGAATCTGTGCCAAAAAATAGAGAACTGAACAGAATGATCAGAAGATAATTTTAAAGTTAAAAAAAAGATGCACAATAAATTATTTTAAAATTTATCAAGATTCACCATGACTTTATATAACCCCAAATCACAAAAAATTTGAATTTGAAAATCATCGTGAACTGAACCTGCTTTGCTCTTTCTATAATCTGAACATGTGAGTTTCTGCTCACGTTGGGACAAGGGTGGGAGTGGGGAAGTTGTAGACTGATGATGAGTAGGATTTGGCTGAGAAGCACTAGTTCCAGTAGCCTGGCCTTTCCTCTTCCCCCTCCCCTCAACCAGCCCAAATCTGGCAAGGACCAGAGGCAGCTTTGTATTTTTTGATTTGGTATTTGCTTGGGTGACTCAAGGCATTTTGGCCTCTAGAGCACAATACTTCTGGTTATGAGAGGTATTCGGCTGCTAACTTCGACCAATTTCCTGTAAGGAAAAAGCAGGTGCTCCAGAAAGATCTAGTGACAGCTAACACTTGATGATCATCTTAGGATTTGGAATGTGCTTTGATAGGATTTGGAATGTGCTTTGATATATATTATCTAATCTGACTTTCACACCAACCCTATGAAGTAGATATTAGTCTTATTTTATAGGTGAAGAAACTTCCTAGAGAGGTTAAGTGATTGGTCGTTTAGAAAAGCTGAGACTTGAGCCCAGGTCTTTCAGATTTCAAACCAGGTGGTCACATGAGAAGTCCAAAAAATTTTGGCTATTTTTCCAGAAAAAGGAAAGGAAACAATTTGTTATTCTTACCAGGTAGTGCAAAGATTATTTTTCTTACACCATCAATATCCAAAGTTGCAAATGTTGTTGGCAAGCTAGAAGAAAAAAAGAGTCACTTGTTAGTGATTGCTAAGCAATATGATGAATACATTAAGTACTCCAGTGTTTTTGTAATCCATACACTTATCATATAAAAAACACTTTTCTGTTGACTTGCCTTTACATCTTTATACTCTGAAGTATTCCACAGACACTTAAATAAGTTTGTTTTTAGTATTTCCTGTTTTCAAGTAACCACACTTTCTGGTTTAAAGAAAACTACTTACTTTTTTTTTTTTTCTTGCCAGTGCCATAGAAATGTACTCCAAATCTTGGAGTTTCCAAGTTTTCCCACCCCTCTAGTTAATAATGTTTATACTACTTTTGCTGGCGATTTACAACAATCATTCTTAAAAGCAGAAGACTGGCCAGGCATGGTGGCTCACACCTGTAATCCCAACACTTTGGGAGGCTGAGGGGGGTGGATCACTTGAGGTCAGGAGTTTGAGACCAGCCTGGCCAACATGGTGAAACCCTGTCTCTACTAAAAATACAAAAATTTGCCAGGCATGGTGGTGTGCGCCTGTAATCCCAGCTACTCGGGAGGCTGAGGCAGGAGAATCGCTTGAACCTGGGAGGCAGAGGTTGCAGTGAGCTGAGATGGCCACTGCACGCCAGCCTGGGCGACAGAGCAAGACTCCATCTCAAAAAAAAAGAAAGCAGATTACCTGATAATATGTCTATCAGACAGTTGCCTATTGTTCAAAATGAGTATTTTTTAACCTTTTTCTTTCAATCCTGCTCCTTCTGTATTAGCCTTTTAAAACTATCCTTAGCATAGACATAAACACTTCCCTCTTATCAAGACATTATTTTTGAAATATCAAAATAAATAAAATATCATGACTAGAACAAAATTAACAGTTTTTTTTTTTTTTTTTTTTTTTGGAGATGGAGTTTTGCTCTTTGTCGCCCAGGCTAGCGTGCAAGGGTGTGATCTCAGCTCACGGCAACCCCCGCCTCCCGGGTTCAAGTGATTCTCCTGCCTCAGCCTCCCGAGTAGCTGGGATTACAGGCACGTGCCACCACGCCCGGCTAATTTTGTTTTTTTAGTGGAGACAGGGTTTCTCCATGTTGGTCAGGCTGGTCTTGAACTCCCGACCTCAGGTGATCCGCCTGCCTCGGCCTCCCAAAGTGCTGGGATTACAGGTGTAAGCCACCGCACCCAGCCACAATTAATAGTAATTTAAAAATATTCTCAAATTACACTTCCTCAAGATTTTGACATGAACTCTTATCATAGGAGGTGGGGTGGAAGGAGTGAGTGGCATAGAGTGGGCAGTTGAGAATAGTGTTTTTTTTTTCTATTAATTACCCTTTATATAGAATTTTAGCTAATAAATCTCATTATATTAATGAACCTTAAGCAATGCAGAATTCTTAGGGCATACTTTTTTCATACAGATGAAATATTAACCTTTTAAGCACTCACATTGTTTTATTTTTACTCTTTTTGGAGGTTGATCTTTCAAAAATAGATCTCTCACTCTTTACCTTTTGCAATAATACAGTGACACTGACTTCTTTTGATGATTTATAGCCATCATTATTAATGTGTACTACTCTGCTGTAATACAGTGATGTTAGGTCACAAGAGTACTATGGGTTGTTTTCACCCATAAACCATAACCCCACATTGCTATGTTTCTATAGTTCTTGTTTCTGTTTTTTTATTCCTTCCCAATTTTTTTTTTCCTGTGGCACCCTGTAATGCGAGATTGCTATCATCTTGACCATTAAAGCTGGTTTTAGGTTTGAGAACCAGAGAATAGTAGCAATAGTTATATTGTTAGAATGAACATAATAACAGTAATAATAAAAATATCTATTTTTATTTATTTATTTATTTTTTGAGACAAGGTCTTGATCTGTCACCCATGCTGGAGTGCAGTGGCTCAATCATGGCTCACTGCAGTCTCCATCTCCTGGGCTCAAGCAATCCTCCAGCCTCAGCTTTCCAGGTAGGTAGGACTACAGGCATGCACCACCATGCCCACCTAATTTTTTTTATTTTTAATAGAGATGAGGTCTCGCTATGTGCCCAGGCTGGTCTTGAACTCCTGAGCTCAAGCGATCCTCCTGTCTCAGCCTCCCAAAGTACTGGGATTACAGGTGTGGGCCACTGGGCCTGGCTAAAATATCTATTTTTTAAGTAACATCTATGTATCACATTAATTATTTCATTTAAGTCTTACAACAAGCTTATAAGGTAACAATTAGAATCCCAGTTTATATGGAAACTGAGATTCAGAGAGATTAAGCAATGTGGTCCAAGTCACTCAGCTACTAAGTGGAGGAACACAGATTTGAACCAAGGTTGTTCTAACTTTAGCTGATATGTGGATAAAGATCTCACAGGATGGTTATGTAGCGTTAGTACATGATCTTTGGACATCTATTTTGGCTACTCTGAGGCTTTTCTTTAGCATACTTCCTGATTCTTTGCTGTTTTAGAAAAATGAGATTCGATTTTGATACTGATTTATGGATAGGTTATTTGGCAATGATTATTAGTGTGTGATGCAAATAATTTCAAAGATTTGTTCTTAATAACAGCTATGCTCACTGTAGATGACGCAATAAAAACCGTGATTGGTAGATCTGGTTGCTGATACTCCAAATGCTTTTCTGAGTATCTTTGTCTCTAAAATGAAAGAGCTTAATTGCATTCTGAAAGCACTGTTACGTGGAAATAGCAAAGCCAGATTGTATTTGTGTGTTTTATATTTCTTTTGTTCTAATATTAAGTAGCAATTACCTTTAAGTTCTTATTACCTTTAGACAAGCATAAAATTCTGGTGAACTAAAAGAAGCCCATTTAAACTTCAAAACTACTTTATTTTAGCAAACCTACAGATAATAAGAATGAGGAGAGAATGTATAACACCTTCTTCCTTCCACTGCATTTAAAGCCCATTGAAATTATAGGGCCAATTTAAGCAATCTTTTGCATCTTGCAGGTAGGTAATGTAATTTCTGTAAAGTTACTCATTTAAAAAAGGATTCCATTGCAAAAAAATATTTTGTTATTATGCATGGCTATCATAAATGTCCTATTGCTAAACTGTGAATTTTTTTTTAAGCTCTGGAAGCCATTTCCTTGGAACTCAAAACCTATTATTCAGTTCTCCTCTTGAGCTCAGACTATAACAGCATTTACACAATGGCTGAAGTCAGAGTGTTATGATTTTAAGGGAGGAAATAAAATGTTAGGAATTGATGAACTGCTAAAGTTGAAGTGAGTGGTAAATAACAGATTGAAAAAAAGAGTATAAAAGTTATCACAGGCACTGAGAATATTTTAAATGATAGATATTACACAAATAACTCTTCTCTAGAGGTAAGGGCAAGTCGTGTTGGCTTCTTTCCCTCTGCAAATAGAACAATCAATTAATTTTTTTTTTTGAGGCAGGGTCTTACTCTGCTGCCCAGGCTGGAGTGCAGTGGTGCTATCATGGCTCACTGCCACCTCCGCCTCAAGTGATCCTCTCGCCTTAGCCTCCCAAGTAGCTGGGACTACAGGCATGTGCCACCACACCTGACTAATTTTTGTATTTTTTGTAGAGACGGGGTTTTGCCATGTTGCCCAGGTTGGTCTCCAACTTCCGGGCTCAAGCGAACCACCCCCACGGCCTCCCAAAATGCTGGGATTATAGGTGTGAGCCACTGCACTCGGCCCAATTCAATTTTTGAGGTTTTGAGAAGCACACTGATATGCTTTTGGGATATCCTCTGTATCCTAATCAGATTAGTACTGCCCATGGGCTCAGAAAAAAAAAAAAGCAGTTATACCCAATAGCATAACAATATTTGCGTAAGACAAAATCCAATAGTTTCTTTCTTTTCTTTTCTTTTTTTCTTTTTTGAGACAAGGTCTCACTCTGTTACCCAGGCTGGACTGCAGTGGCATGATCTCGGCTCACTGTAACCTCTGCTTCCCAGCTCAAGCGATTCTTCAGCCTCAGCCTCCCGTGTAGCTGGGACTAGAGGCACAAGCCACCAACGCCCGGCTAATTTTTGTATTTTTTATAGAGATGGGGTTTCTCGATGTTGCTCAGGATAGTCTGGAACTCCTGAGTTCAAAGCAACCTGCCTGCTTCAGCATCCCAAAGTGTTGGGGATTATAGGCGTGAGCCACCATGCCCAGCCCCAATTCAACAGTTTCGATAATAAAAAGGCCCTATCAGCAGCAGCCATATTGGGGCATGCTCAACATGCAACTACAGAAATACAAAGCCAAGAATTCTATCAAATTGTGGACAAAGCTTTAGGAATAATCTTAATTCTATACTAAAAATGGCCAAATCGTGGAGGTAAAGCCTGATCTCTATCCTAGAACTGACATGAGGTACTTATTAGGAGGGCTAGCTTGATACTTTAAAGGCTTTTGAAATTTGTTGATGGTACCCATAGCTCACTTACAACAACTGAGAAGCCTCTACTCCATTCTCTCCTAGGGTTCATTGACAGTAAAGCATCATTACTGTTGTCCCTGACAGCATGGAGGTGGGCTGGAACTCTCAGCCATACAGTTGAGGTCTCTGCACAGGAAATCATAGGTTCATAGAGTAGCAAAGGTCTAAACAGATAGACTATTTCTTAAAGATATGGCCATATCTTTCACTAATACCAACGTTTGGCAACCTTTGAGGATTTATAACTGACTTCAGGACCTCCATCAGCCCTTCTTTAGGGATTATTAATTTTTAAGAGATGTGCAAATTCATGGTTATTTTCCTTAGTTATTTTTCTTTCCTCCTAGGGGCCAGTAGGAAACAGTGTGAAAGCCTACTTAATGAAACATTCTTGCAAAGGAAAAAAAAAATTAAACCTGAATTTAATCAAGCCTTTATATCTTTCAATTTATAGCATATATCAGAGACAGAGGAACATAACCTAAGGAAGTAATCAGCCAAATCCATTCATCAGGAAACATGATCCATTTTCTCTAGCAAGTCAATGGCACAACAACAACAAAAAGGGTGGGGGCAGAAAATGTTCTCATTTAATAGAGACTTAACAAACAAATACACTGAGTCGACCTTAATGGAATCCTTATCAAACAAAACAATTATAAAAAGGCATTCTTTTTCTTGATATATGGGAGAAATTTGAATATGATCAGGGTATTAGATGATATTAAAGTATTATTTATTTTGTTAGATGACATAATACTACTGTGATTAGGTAAGAGAATGCTGTTGTTAGTATTATTATTTCAGATGTATACCAAAATGACATATCTAGAATTTGCTTTTAAACAAACCAGCCCTCCCTCCCAACTAAAAGGCAGGGTGGGGTGGGGGTTCGTTCCCTACTTTTGTGTATATTTCAGAGTTCTCATATTAATTATTTTTAAAAACAGATAAAGAAGCAGTTTGGGGAAAAAGAGAAAAAGAGGAAGAAGGAACTAGGGATGAGAATTAAAAAGGAGAAAAAGTTTGGAAAGTTGCTGTGTTTTGTTTATACCAAACTCATTGACTCATAAGGAAGATGAATTCCTATTTCATTAGAACCTGCACTTGTGCAAAGGATCCTAATACTATATTTCTTTTTTTTTGGAATAGTTAATTCATAATAGGAAATGTAAAAAGAAGGCATTTAAAAATTTGTTAGTTAAAGCAAGCCAAACCAACCCCATATATGAGATAACAAGATGATTTTCATACCCTGGTTTCATAAAAACCCTGCCAAAATGGATCTGAGCATGAAGATCAATGTCCAGCACCTGCTTGAGATAGTCCTGCAAACATTAAAAATAATCACTTTACTTTCAAACATTTTAATATTAGACTTTCAACACTTTAAATGAACATTAAATTAATAAGATTGAAATGAAAAGAAACATCTTTCTTATTTTAATGGAGTTGATTTGCTTAACACAAATATTCCTTCATTCTTCATTTATCCATTTATTCATTCAATAAATAGTTACTTAACACTTGGTATATGATGAGTACCAGTCTATGTGTAGGGGGATACAGCCTTGAACAAAAGAGACAACATCCCTGTCCTCACAGAAAGTACATTCTAGTAGGAGAAGTTAGATAAAAACAAAACAACTACATTAATGTATAATATCATTAGCTGGTGCGTTATTGTTTCTCTTCTAAGATAGAATTTTATGTCTGAAGAAGGATGTTAACAAATATGTCTTAAGTTGTACCCGGGCAAGAAACCTACATGTATGTATCCTACACCATTCTGCTTAATGATCTTAAAGCCATATACATTCCTTGAAGAGAGACTTGAACATATGCCCACAGATTACTTAGATTTGTCAAATCTAAATAGCTCAACTAAAATGAAAAACAGGAAAGGAACTCTAAAACAGAAAGTCAAGGGAGTTTTAACTACTCCAACTTTATATTCTAGTATTAAAAACAAAACTAACCTGTGGCTATGACCAACCCACAGTGATATTACAAAATCTGATCTTTGGAAATGAAATATAACACAGCTCTGCAGCTGGTGTTGTAGACAGAAAGAAAAAAATTGCACTCCTTAACATTTCTCTTAAATAATAAAAACCTAGGTCTATTACTAAATTTTTTGGTTTACTAATCTAAAAATGAGTCCAGTAACCTGTCTACATTTTAAATATTTCACAAACTATTAGGTACTTTTATTTGTAAAAATGTGTTCCCTTCTATCTCTACAGCCTCAGCCAACATCATCTCACCGGGATTGCTGAAATAGGTCTCCTTGCCAATAGTGCCACCCTCCTCCAATTCATTCTCCCCACAGTAGTAACAGAGATCCTCTGAGATAAATTTGATCAAGTGACTATATAATACTTTAATAAGTTGCTGGTTTTTAGGAAAAAGTATCTTTTTTTTTTTTTTTTTTTGAGATGGAGTTTTGCTCTCGTCCTCCAGGCTGGAGTCCAACGGTGCGATCTTGGCTCACTGCATCCTCCTCCTCCTGGGTTCAAGCAATTCTCCTGCCTCAGCCTCCCGAGTAGCTGGGATTACAGGCATGCACCACTACGCCCAGCTAATTTTTCTATTTTTAGTAGAGACACTGTTTCACCAGGTTGGCCAGGCTTGTGTCAAACTCCTGACCTCAGGTGATCCACCCGTCTCGGCCTCCCAAAGTGCTGGGATTACAGGCGTGAACCACTGCACCAGGCCATATCATCTTTTAAATATCAAATATTCCTATATTTTCTAGCCCCCCCAATCATTGTTCTCATCCATCTCACCCAGCCACATTCCTATCAATCTTTCTCTCCGTCTACATTCTAGCAAGACTCCTTCCTTCCTTCCTTCTCCCCTGCCCCACCCCCGCCGCCACTCTCTCTCTCTTTTTCTCTTTCTCTCTTCTTCTTGAGACGGGGTCTCTCTCTGTCACCCAGGCTGGAGTGCAGTGGCATGATCTCGGCTCACTGCGACCTTCGCCTCCTGGGTTCAGGCAATTCTTGTCCCTCAGCCTCCCAAGTAGCTGGGTGGGATTACAGGTGCATGCCACCATGCCCGGCGAATTTTTGTATTTTTAGGAGAGAGAGCGTTTCACCATGTTGGCCAGGCTGGTCTTGAACTCCTGGCCTCAAGCGATCCACCCACCCTGGCCTCCCAAAGTGTTGGAATTACAGGTGTGAACAACCGCATCTGGCCAGTTTCTTAAGCTATTGCCTCCAGTCTTTGAAAATCTTTTTTCTGCCTTGAATACTCTTTCTACCCCACTGTCTATCCCACCTTTATCTTAGTCTCAGTCATCTTCTCAGCCTCCTCTGAACTCCAAAGACTGGGGGACTAGATGAAATGTTGATTATTAATTAATTAATTCACGTATTTTTCATTTTGAGGTTATATTATTAGATATAGTAAATTTGCAAATGTTACTTACATATTCCTGATGAATTAACTAATTTAAAATAATAAAATGTCCCTCCTAATATCTAGTAATCCTTTTTACCTTAATTTTCTCTATTTGCTCTACATAAAAATGTATTATAAGAAAAGAAAAAGAATTTTCTCTGTTATCAATATAGCTACACCAGCTATATTTCATTGTAACTTTTTCAAATCTTTTACTTTCAGTTTTCTATGTCTTTATAATATTTAAGATGTGTCTCTTATAAGCAGCATATGATTAGCTGTTTTTTTAAAAATCCAGAATGACAATTTTTAACTGAAGGATTCAGTCTATTTACATTTAGTATAATTTTTCTTTTTTTTTTTTTTTGAGACAGAGTCTCACTTGTCACCCAGGCTGGAGTGCAGTGGCGCGATCTCGGCTCACGTTGGCAACCTCTGTCTCCTGGGTTCAAACGATTGCATGTCTCAGCCTCCTGAGTAGCTGGGACTACAGGCACATGCCACCACACCCAGCTAATTTTTGTATAGAGACGAGGTTTCATTACGTTGGTTAGGCTGGTCTCGAACTCCTGGCCCCACATGATCAGTCCACCTCAGCCTCCTAAAGTGCTGGGATTATAGGCATGAGCCACCGCACCTGGCCTACATGTAGTATGATTACTGCTATATTTGGGTTTAAAACTATCACTGTACCATTTGTCACTTCTGCTTTGATTTCCTTTTTCCTTCTTCTATACCTCCCTTAGGATTCATGAAATATTTTTTATTTAATATTCTTTCCCCTCTATTAGCTTGTTAGTTACATATTCTTATATTATTATGTTAGTAATTATTTTAGAGATTTACAATATGCATCCTTGACTTATTACAGTCTACTCATAACTGGGTTTTTAAAAATCACTTCCCAGACAATACAAGAACCTTAAAACATATCAACTCAATTTATGCCTTTCTACCTTTCATGCTATTGTGTGTATATATTTTACATGCATTTTAAGCATATACGTATGTGCATGTATATGTTTATATTTTAAGTATATGTATTTTATTTATTGTATATATTTTCTACATATACTATGTTGACAATATATACTTGATATTTATATATTCACTATATAGTATTCATATTTTAAGCCTCACAAGACATTATTATTTTACATGATCAACACTCATTTACATTTGCTGACATGTTAACCCTCTTTAGTCCTTTCTGCATTTCCATGCTTCCATAATCCTTCCACCTTAAAAACTCTATTTAGTCTAGGTCCGCACAGTTTTTGTTTGGCTGAAATTGTCTTTACTCCACCTTCATTTTTGAAGTACATTTTTGATGACTATAGAGTTCCCTACTGGCAGTATTTTTTTCCTGCATTTTACAAATCCCAGTCCATTGTTTTCTGGGTTCCATCATTTCCATTTAAATCATTTGTTAGTTTTATTGTTGCTCCTTTGAAGGCAATGTGTCCTTCTGGTAAAATTTTCTCCGTCTTTAGTTTTCAGTAGTTTTGCTGATTACCTAGGTATGGTTTCTTTTATTTATCCGGCTCGAGATTAGTAGAGCTCCTAGAATTTCTGGCTTGATGTCTTTTATTGATTTTGGAAAACTATCCGCCAATATTTTAAATATCGTTTTGCTCACTCTGTCTCCCCTCTCCTTCTTAGACTTCATCTACATATATGTTTGACCTTTCACCACATCCCATTTGTCTTTTATGCTCATTTCTATATTTTCTATCCCTTTTCCAAAATTTCAATTTGATTCTTATGAATAGATACCAGTTTTCTAGTGAAATTTCCCACTTTGTCATCCCTTTTTCTTAAACATATAATGGTTATTAAAGTCCATGTGAGACAATATAAGTATCAGCATCATTTTTAGGTCTACTTTATCAATTGTTTCCTATCTTAATTTTTAGTCATTTTGCTCTATCTCTAGCATGTCTGGCAACTTTTCAGATTGAAGCCCAAATATCAGGTATGAAAAAATTGAAAAGGCTTTGGACAATGATATATTCCTCCAAAAAGAATTTGAGGTCTTCTGGCAGTTAAGGAAAACTCAGATTATCTTGATCTAATCAGGGATTGAGATAGTTTGATGCTGAATTTCAGTCCGTGTGAAGGCTAGTTTATCTGCAGATTGTCTTTATTCCTAAAGCATAGCCCTTCAAGCTGAAAGCCTGAGATATTTACCAGGGCCCCTCCTCTATAACAGGTCCTGAACTCATAAGACTCATGAAAATTCTGCTTATTTCATTAGCTTCTTAGCTACTCTTTTTTATGCTTGGCTTCTTTGCCTCCTGTAGTATTAATAGCTCTCACCCCACCTCACTCCTGGCTTAGGAATTAGTAAATGCTTTGAGGAAAAATATGGTGAAGAATTCCAGTTTTACTTCTCTGTGGTTCACTTTTTCTCTGGGATCTTAGTGCCCGGAATCCTGGCTGTCTTGGTTATTTTCTTCAGACATCTGCTTTTGCTTTTCTTTAAAAAATTTTACATAGTTTTTATAGATGTTCTTGGTGGGAGAATTGGTCCAAATATGCTATTCTATCATAGCAGAAGCAGAAATCTTCAGGTCTTTCTTATATGCTCCTATAGCACTAAATGCTTCTAACATTATGCACTTAGGTTATAGAGCAACTGCTTTGATAGCTGATATGTATCCTTTGTTAAACTATAAAGTTCTTGAGAACAGGAAACTTCTCTTTTATATATATCTATATATATCTATATCTATATAATGAATCCTTAATGAATAGCATACACCTTTCACTCATTCATTTGTTAGTGCACCAAACATTTCTGAGTGCCTATTATGTATTAGGAATTCCATATGTGCTACGCATTTCATGGTACAGAAGAAAGACATAGTCCCTGACACAAAGATATCCTGTTACATTTTACTGGAGAGAAATAGCCAAAAACAAGTAAACCAACAAATAAAATAATTATAATTTGTGGTACATGCGATGAAGGAAATAAGCAGGTGCTGGGATAGAAAATGATGAGGGTGTGGGGAATAGGAAAGGTCATTCTAGAAGAGGTAGTGATATATTAGCTAAGCCTTGAAGGATAAGAAGGATTCAAGCATGTGAAGTGTGGAGGGAAGAGAATTCCAGAGAAGGGACATACAAATGAAAGCTTCCAAAGTGGCAAAGCGTGCATGGAACTGAAAAGGCAATGGATGGTAGTGAATGAGTAGGAGAGAGGTATAAGCAGAGTTTGAAGAGATAGGCAGAAGCCAGAGTTGCAGGGCCTTGAAGGTTATGATGCAGAGTTTGGAAAGCAGATGCTTATATATTTGCTAAATGAATGAAAGTGTTTTATTTTTCTTGCAAAAAATTGTTTTTAAAAATAGCCCTTTTCATTCTTTTTGAACATGAAGAAGTGCTTCATGCTCCTGTGACAGACAGAAAACTTGTACCAGACATAGTGATAAAGGCTGAGAATCATCATTGTTCTTATATTTTTGTTTACCTATTGAAGCAGCAAGGATCTTTGTCTGATATTCTGAACCCCAGAGTCATATGAGAAGAAGAAAAATGAATGGATGAAGGAATAAGTCTCTTCTTCAACTCAGGTAAGGAGAAACACCAGTGGTCAGAAAAATTGTGCAAAACTTTGAAATGGGCAGAAAAGAATACTGGGTGTCCAGTGCAACACCCACTTTCTGGTTATTTGTATTTTTCAGCTATTTTACAGCAATGAAACTGAATAAAACTGAGAGTAAATGCAATGGACTGAATATGTCCCTCCCCACCCCCAAATTCATATGTTGAAACTCCAATCCCAATGTGATGGTGGGGGCTTTGGGAAGTAATTAGGTGATGAGGGTGGAGTTCTCATGAGTAGAATTAGTGCCATTATAAGAAGAGGCCAGAGAGTTAGCTAGCTCTCTTTCTGCCATGTGAGGGTAAAAGAAGTCAGCTATCTGCAGCCTGGAAGAGGGCCCTCACCAGAACCCATCCATGCTGTCACCTGGATCTTGGATTTCCCAACCTTCAGAATTATGAGAAATAAATGTTTACGCCACCCATTTTATGGTATTTTTTGTTATTTTGAGACAGGGTCTCATTTTGTTGCCTAGGCTGGAGTGCAGTGGTGTGAACACAGCTCACTGCAGCCTTGACCTCTCACCTCAGCTTCCTGACTAGTTGGGACTACAGGCAAGCACCACTATGCCTAGCTAATTTTTATAGTTTTTGTAGAGAGGGGATTTTGCCATGTTGCCTGGGCTGGTTTAGAACTCCTGGCTTAAGGATCTGCCCGCCTTGGCCTCTGAAAGTGCTAGGATTACAGGCGTGAGCCACTGCACCTGGACTTTGGTATTTTTTAAATAGCAGCCTAAGCTAAGACAGTGAACCTTTTTTTTTTTTGACACGGAGTCTCGCTCTGTCACCAGGCTGGAGTGCAGTGGCACAATCTTGGCTCAGTGCAACCTCTGACTCCCTGGTTTAAGAGATTCTGCTGCCTCAGCCTCCTGAGTAGCTGGCATGACAGGCATGCACCACCACACCCAGCCAATTTTTGTATTTTTAGTAGAGATGGGGTTTCCCCATGTTGGCCAGGATGGTCTCAATCTCCTGACCTCGTGATCTGCCCGCCTCGGCCTACCAAAGTGCTGGGATTACAGGTGTGAGCCACCGCGCCCCGCCAGTGAACATAATTTTATTCCAAAGAAATGCAAATGAATTCTGCCCAGTGGAGATGTAATTGATTATTCTGTGGTGGGTATAGATCAGTTTTGCATCTATTAGCAAATTATTTCAGCATTCTTGATTACCTGATTACCTGGGTAGTCAAGAATGCTGAAATGGGTATATTCTTTGAATTCTCCTTTGAATAGGTCATAGCATCTTATTTGCTCGTTGTTGAGTTAAATAAAGTCTTGGAAACATGTTCATTTTATATATTTATGAGATTCATAATTTTTTTACATAGGCAAATATGTAAGATTTTTAAATATCATATAACATTTGCTAAAAGTAATTTATCATTTAAAGAAAAATCATAATGATATAGTGAAGGTTCAATAATATATGTAAATATGACATTTATGGCAAGTGTAGCACAGATGTTGAGAGGGGAAAAACAGAAGTATATCATTGTAAGATTCTTATGCTATACACGAAGTGGTAATATCACTTCTAGGTAGAATATAGAAGTTATACATACTATGAACACTTATGAAACAACTAAATTTATTTACAAAAACGAGGTACAGTGAGTAAGCCAAGAAAGGAGACAAAATCAAGATTAATGATTTTATCTATAAAAAGTTAAACTTTAACAATTCCAGAGGCTCCACTGAGATGCTCCATTGATTCATTGGACAGAGCCAGTTAAACTTCATTGGCAGAGAAGTACACTTTATGAGTGGCTTAAACCTGGGTACAGGCCAGGCATGGTGGCTCAAGTCTGAAATCCCAGCACTCTGGGAGGCTGAGGCAGGCGGATCACTCGAGGCCAGGAGTTCGAGACCAGCTTGGCCAACATGGTGAAACAGCATCTCTACTAAAAAGACAAAAATTAGCCAGGCATGATGGCATGCGCCTGTGATCCCAGCTACTTGTGGGGCTGAGGCATAAGAATTGCTTGAACCCGGGAGGTGGAGGTTGCAGTGAACCAAGATCATGCCACTGTGCTCCAGCCTGGGAGACAGAGCAAGACACTGTCTCAAAAAAACAAAAACAAAAACAAACAAACAAAGGGTACATCTTTCCTTGGTTCCTGGAGTGAATTCCAAGCAGCAATAAAACTGTAACTTTGGTAACTTTTGGTTTCTCTATTTTGGCCTCCGTATTCATTTTGGTTCTGTTTTTGTTTCTGCACACGGCCAATAAGGTATTGCCCCTTGTGGCAGGAATGATTAGGGATTTGGTTTTATGGTCTAATCATTTGGTGATCTCTGTAAAAGGATGATACAAATCTATTTTGTTTGGTTAAGAGAAGACAGAGAATCTGGCTTATTAGTCTTTCTTGTTTATTTCTCTTATTGTCCATTCTGAGGCCAAATCAATTAAGATTTTTGTGCCCTCTAGGAAAGAAAATAGCTCTTTATGAGTGGACTGATGAATATTTATGGTTCTGTGTTTACTCTTGACTTACAGCTCAAGTTGTAAGTAGAACTGAAGCTATTGTGTTTCTTATCTGTCTGTGTGTTCACGTGTCTGTAATACAGAAAAACATTTACCTCATTTTGTGAGTGTGAAGTGTTTGCCTTCCTATTTCTGTAAGGTATTCATAAATTATATCGTCTCTTAAAGATGCCCTGTTCTAACTGGCTGAGAGAGATAGTAAGTTCTTATATAAAATATTTCTAAAATTCCTAGATAATAAATAATTTTAACTTACAATATTTTAAATATGCTACACTGAAAATATTCTACTTATAATTTTGAGAATGTGAGTTCATATAATTAGGATAAATCTGTAGCAAATGAGACTAACTTAATAATTCCAGTTATTAAGGAAACCCAAAAGCCAGGTATGATGACGTGTACCTATAATGCTAGCTACTTGGGAGGCTGAGGCAGGAGGATTATTGCTTAAGCCCAGAAGTTAGAGACCAACTTGAGCAAAATATTGAGACCCTGCCTCAAAACATACATATAAACAAAGAAAAAAAACAAACCCCAAACTTAAATAACAATAATAAAAAAACCTCAGCCATGTTCTTTCTCTTATTTACATCAATCTTAAGTATAACACAAGTATACATTTTATTTCACTTGGGTTTTTCCTAAACTTCTATAGGCTTATTTATCAAATAATCTCACATTTTTCCTATATAATATTTAAGATTATAAAAAAGTATAAAACTGTGATCAACAAAATCAAATAATTATTCTGAAAACCTTACAATGTTTTTTTTTTTTTTTTTTTTGTTTTTTTTTTTTGAGACGGAGTCTCGCTCTGTCGCCCAGGCTGGAGTGCAGTGGCGGGATCTCGGCTCACTGCAAGCTCCGCCTCCCGGGTTCACGCCATTCTCCTGCCTCAGCCTCCCAAGTAGCTAGGACTACAGGCGCCCGCCACTACGCCCGGCTATTTTTTGTAGTTTTAGTAGAGACGGGGTTTCACCGTTTTAGCCGGGATGGTCTCGATCTCCTGATCTCGTGATCCGCCCGCCTCGGCCTCCCAAAGTGCTGGGATTACAGGCGTGAGCCACCGCGCCCGGCCAACCTTACAATGTTAATAGTTATTATGTTTTATAGTATGTCAGTTTCAAAATAATTTAAGATTTTTATTTACTTAAAATCTTGAGTTGATATTAAACTGAATTGATTAATAAATCATCGTAAGATACCTAATTTCTAAGATAGAGTATTAGAGCATTTATTATTAAGCATCATTTTAAGTTATTAGCTTTTTAAAAAGAATATAGTTATTAATTATATAGAAATTAAAACTATATAGTTAGTAACTATGTACTTCTTAAGGTGAATATATTTTGCTGGAAAGGCTGTATTTTTGGGTCATGTTAATGAATGTGTTGATTCATCTTTGCTACACTAAGGTGTAAAAGGGATGTGTCCCGCAGTAGAAAGTTGTGTTCTTTGTGTTTATGAGCTTTGCTAGTCTGCTAAAATGGTTACATATTATTTCTCAATTATCCAAGCTCCCTAGTTTTCTCTATGACACAGATATTAGTTATTTTCTTAAACATCATAATTAATATGGGTAGTTGCAATTATATAAGGAACAATAATGACAGAGAAGTATAACTATAAGTGTTCTTTTGTTTTTCAAGGAAAAATAATATTTTTTTCTTAAGGCCCGATTCTCAGAATTTTTGGTCTCAAGACCCCTTCACATATTCTTAAATTAAAATTCATTAAGGATCCCTAAGAGTTTTTGTTTATGTGAGCTATAGCTATGGATATTTACTATATTAGAAATTAAAACTAAGAAATTAAAAAAACATTTGGTTCATTTGAAAATAACAACAATAAAGCCATTTCATGTTAACATAAGTAACTTCTTTTCTTCTTTTTTGAGACAGAGTCTCACTCTTGTTGCCTAGGCTAGAGTGCAATGGCATGATCTGGGGTCACTGCAACCTCTGCCTCCTGGATTCAAGTGGTTCTCCTGCCTCAGCCTCCCAGGTAGCTGGGATTACAGGCGCCCGCCACCACGCCCAGCTAATTTTTGTATTTTTAGTAGAGACGGGGTTTCACCATGTTGGCCAGGCTGATCTTGAACTCCTGACCTCAGGTGATCCACCCGCCTCAGCCTCCCAGAGTGCTGGGATTACAGGCGTGAGCCACACGCCCAGCCCAGTAATTTATTTTCAATGCGTTGTTTTATAATTTTGAAAATCTCTTTAACTTCTGGGTTACCAGAAGTCAGATTCTCATATCTGATTCACTCAATCTGATGAGATATCACTCATCATTTAGCTGCTGGAAGAACTCAAGCATACACTCATGAGAAAAGGAAAGAGAATGAGAGAAGTGGAATAAAAAAGGCAAACTGGCCGGGCGCGGTGGCTCACGCCTGTAATCCCAGCACTTTGGGAGGCCGAGGCGGGTGGATCATGAGGTCAGGAGATCGAGACCATCCTGGCTAACATGGTGAAACCCTGTCTCTACTAAAAATACAAAAACAAAAAATTAGCTGGGCATGGTGGCAGGCACCTGTAGTCCCAGCTACTCGGGAGGCTGAGGTGGGAGAATGGCATGAACCCGGGAGGCGGAGCTTGCAGTGAGCCGAGATGGCACCACTGCACTCCAGCCTGGGTGACAGAGCGAGCCTCTGTCTCAAAAAAAAAAAAAAAAAAAAGCAAATAAAGTCTTAAAATTATTATGAAAATAGTGTTGACCTTGCAGGTCCTCTTAAAAGGTCTCAAGGACCCTTACGGTTATGAAGACTATTCTTTGCTCTAAAGTGTCAATTTGTTCCAGAATATAAAAGAGCATAATAAAGGACAAACTTTCATGAGATTGTATTTGCCCTGGTTTCTAGTAACTGTGTTTGAAGTGAAGCTGAGAAACATATTAAAATTTTAGTGAGTTTGCTGAGTTTTGATGTGCTTCTTTCTTTGGTACTGATTAACGCCTGTCCTACAATAAGAAAGGTTATTCTTTTTGTGTAATTTGCCTTTTTGTGCTGTTTATCTTTATTTAAAGAAATAAAAAAGCGAAGAACAAAGGTTCCTTATTTATGAATTGAGCCAAGGTTATTTACAGTCATGTTACCTTCTATGTTCATTTTCAAATATTTTATTGTTTTGAAAAATTAGGTAACCAAGTAGTTTCTCAGGTCTTCATCAAGTGCCCCATTCTTTTTTAATAACTTTTTTGATTTTTGCCTTTTAAAGATCAGACCAAAATTTAGGAAAAAATGTGCTTTTCTTACCAAAACTCATCTTTAAAATTTCCTAGAGGGCCTCTAGAAAATCCCAGGTTTGTTTTCATCTATAAAAAGAAATGCTGGGAATAATTAGATTTGTTTAAAGTTTCATGAGAGGAGCTGCCATATCTGAGAAGAGATACTCAGTCTGCCCTAGGTTAGGTTCTTATAGGTAAACTGTTATTAATAGAAATATTTCAGAAATTGTTTGCTTTACGGGAAGTTCCTGGAAATTTGACAATGCCTTTGCTGTTTTACCCTCAGAGGAAACGCTGATTAAAACTTCTAGGCTGGCATGGTGGTTCACGCCTATAATCCCAGCACTTTGGGAGGCTGATGCAAGAGGATTGCTTGAGCCCAGGAATTCAAGGCTGCAGTCAACTATGACGGCAGTACTGCACTCTACCCTGGGTGACAGAGTGAGACTTTGTCTCAAAAAACAAAATACAACAAAAACCTCAAAACAAAACAAAACAAAACAAAAAACCCTACTGTGAAATACTTACATATGTATCTCAAAAGAGAATGTCACTTATCTTCTATTCTGATATTATTGGTTATGGAAGCAAATTAAGCACAGCTCTCAAGTATTTGTCATCCACAGAGAATTTCTGTTTTACTCTGGTGCTTGCCTGAAGGCTTTGCTACAAGCTATAGTCAATAGTTTATGCCCGAAACAGAGACAGATTTAGAGCATTAGGGAAAAGGAGAGTAATAGGCACTTTAACATTGCTATTGAGATATCAAACAATAACCTCTTGAGTACAGGCTTCTGAGGTGATATAGCTTAGCTAACTTTTATGTAGTATCAAAGCTGATGGCTTCAGGAAAGCAGACTGCTAACTCAACATTTAGCAGAACAAGAATGATGTAGGATAAATGAAATATTAAAGAAAATTTTTTTATGTGTATGTTTGGAATATTGATTAGTTTTTTTTGTTTTGTTTTGTTTTTTTGAGACAGAGTCTTCCTCTGTCACCCATGCAGGAGTGCAGTGGCGCCATCTTGGCTCACTGCAACCTCCACCTCCCAGGTTCAAGCAGCTCTTGTGCCTCAGCCTCCCAAGAAGCTGGGATTATAGGCATGTGTCACTATGCCCAGCTAATTTTTTATTTTTAGTAGAGGTGGGGTTTTGCCATGTTGGCCAGGCTGGTCTTGAACTCCTGGCCTCAAGCAATCTGCCCACCTTGGGCTCCCAAAGTGCTGGGATTATAGGCATGAGCCAACGTGCCCAGCCAATTACTTTTAAATATTCTAAGGCTACATGGCTCTAGACTTACAAAACAAATCAAGGAGCTTACATGGTTAATTAACACTCTTATTGCTAAATAACTGGGCAAACCTCATGAAACCAGCCTTTTTTGTGATCGGTTATCATCTATGTGATTACTTTGATCATAAGGGGTGGTGGAGACACTATTAGCAAAACTTAAGAGACTTAGAAATGAGCAAAAAAGGTCACTGGTGTCCAGTTTAGTGCATCCTTCTGGATTATTGCCACCTTTCATTGTCTTTGAGTTATTTAATAATTTTGTAGGTCGAAGAAAACTTATAGTAATGCATATGATTCTTTAGTTTTCATGGCAAAAGGCAGATACTGTTTAACTATTTAACAAGCTTTCAGTGTTTTGTAAAAATGAAACTCTTTGAAAAGAGTATGTAGGGCAGGGTGAGGTGAAGGAGGGGAGAGATCTTTAGGGAAGTAACTGTGGAAGAATCATTTCTCCTTGGCTGGGAAGAAGGTACTGGTCTATGAGTCCAACAAGCAGCAGGGCCCCTTCCTCGCTGTTTAGCATGCAGTATGTTGGAGAAGTGGTCAGACTTTAGAAGGGATGGCTGTGAAATACACCCAAAGAGGCTAGCTGCTCTGAGGTTTCCAGCCTCTACCTGATCTTAGTGCTCCTAGCATGGCCCAAAGGAGCAAAGACTTGAGATCTAATGGTACTATAAGAATACTCTAGATGTATCCAGTGCAGACCAGTGACCAGCTGTGTCTCCCTGATGCTTTGGTGCTGCTTAAGTACCTTCAGGTTCCTTGTCATAATTCTTGGAGATAGTAAGCTCCAGTTGTGGCTTAATAAAATTTCCCACCAGTCCTGTAGCATAGGCACTTAGAGTATAATTTAAATGGAATTAAATACATTTCTTGCATACCTGAGGTTCTGCACTTAATATTCATGCCTGCTACATAATACTTCTGAATTTTTCCTTGATTTCCCTGTCTTTTTAGTAACTGGTTTTCAGGCTTAGCTCCTGGGCTGAAGCAAATGTTCTGTCTTTTATTATTTTCTTTCTACTATGGAGGTACCCTAAATTCTTTTTGGAATTAAAACTTGTTTGCTGGCAGGAATTTGCTGCATGTATGTTTTATCTCTTTCTTCCTGGTTCCTCTATCATCTCATTCCCACTCAAGGAGGTAGGAAGGGACAATTAGCAGCTCCTAAGGAATACCGTGGGATGCCCAGTTTCTAAAATTTCTTTCCTAGTAAATTAAAGGTTTAGTGTAAGTATCTTATTATACAGAGAGTAAAAAAAATAAAACCAATATGCTTAACTATATTGGCTTTGTTTACTGGTGAGCAAATCCCTGGCATAACTGACATCTTTGTTAGCACTAATAAAGAAGGTTAGGTTGAGAAGTGTTCTGTCCTTACCACAATTGAGCCACAATTGCCAAGCCTATGTATGCTATGAGTTTGTTACCTCTCCAGAGTACTAGAAAAGATAAACGTTTTAGTTCTGCCAAATAGCTATTATCCCACAATTAGGTTAATCAGAAACTAAGAGAAATTATAACAAGACACAAACCCTGGAAATAACAAATTTAACATTTAAATAGACCTGACTTCATGGTTTGCTCTTGTAATATTGAGAGTACCACAGGCAGTTTGATGGTAATGAAAACAGACAAGTTGCAAATTATTTCTTTCAGCTGTACTACAGTGCAGATCTCAGCCCCTAGCCTTTGTGATCTCAGGAGAGCTCTGCGGCAATTTGCTCTACCTGGGGCTAAAGACTCTGGGAGACTTTGAGGGAACACTAATCCAGCAATTTGTCTGCTTTAAGAACACCTACACACACTACAACACTTTCACTCCTGGATGTAATGTGAGATTTTTTTCTTCCAAACTTTTTAGCATCTGCAGTGCTATTCTGAAAGGCTCTGACACTAAAGTTTGTGAATGGAAGGCAGGCATTCTTCTGTTCAGGTTGCTAAGTTCTGACATTTGTTCTCCGAGCCAACAGAGTTCACTGTCCAAAGAGTCAGGTTATAAATTTAGGCAGTTTTATAGCTACAAGAGGACAGAGATCAAGAACAATCATATACGTAAGATCTAGTTTAAAATAAATCAAACTCTTAGAAAATATGAATTTTGGTAAAAATTGCTATGACAGTATTTTTGTAATTTTTCAGTTTAGTCATTAATGTGAGAGAAAACATGGAAAAGGATTATCAGCTGGCAAAACATTTTACACTGAAATATCTTTGAGCCAAAAATTAAGCTTGGTTATTTAGTAAACAATATTTTACTTTTATAACATTATTCAGTAGACCCAATAGTCATCGTAAACTAACACATTTCATTAAGAAATGTAAACTTAGTGTTACTGAAATATTCAAATTGTGGTCTTTATAGGAACAAGTATATACCATCTACAAATACACTTAGTCCTATAAAATATTTGTGTATGTGTGTGTGTATATATATATATATATATATATATATATATATATATTTTTTTTTTTTTTTAAGACAGGGTCTTGCTGTGTTGCCCAGGTTGGAGTGCAGTGGTGTGATCTCAGCTCACTGCAGCCTTGACCACCCAGGCTCAAGCGATCCTCCCACTTCAGCACCCAAGTAGCTGGAACTGCAGGCGCGTGCCACCATGCCCAGCTAATTTTTGGATTTTTTTTGTAGAGATGGGGTTTCACCACGTCGCCCAGGTGGTCTTGAACTCCTGGGCTCAAGCAACCTACCCACCTCAGCCTCCCAAAGTATTGGAATTACAGGCTTGAGCCACTGTGCCTGGCCATATTTTCATTATTATTATTATATTATTTTGTAAGGAGGAGCAAAAGGAATGCCTAATCCTCCCTTTCTTCCTTGTGGGGAAGGGGAGCTAAGCATTCTTGGTAGATTTGGAATATATGGTGGGTGAATTGGTTGGCTCCTGGGGAGTCATGTTTAAATTTGAGTAGAAGGAAGGATCTTAGAGTTTTACCCTGGTGGTAAATATCATGCATAAAGGATGTCCTAATGTAGTAAAATAGAGTGAGAAACAGGTCAGAAGTTTCCACAGGAATAGCAAAAACCATTCTGTAAGTTGTGGGATTCTCCAGGTTGCTCCTGAGGGTAAGCTCCCTGACCTACCCACATTGTATCCCTTTTAAAGAGACCAGTAATTTCTGAAGCCCCATGGATTTTCAGCTTTGTGGGAGCCTCGTTATGAATATCAGATGCCTACCAGACCACAGTTAATCGACCATATGCAAGAACATTACAGCAGATACATTTTCACGAGCCCTATCTTTCATACCTTTTCCCCCATGGATACACCCCCTGATGTGATGATGACATCAGCACGACTGATACCCTCATTCAAGGCATTGAGTAAGTCATCTGGGCTGGAAAAAAATAAAGACAAAGAAATTAACACACAAGGAAAAGATTTTAGATATAGTGCCAACTTAAAACTACATCGCCTTATTCACTAATAGGCATTAACATGAGTACAGCACTATATTCTGTATGAAGTGGGAATCAAAAGGGTCTCTGCCTAACAGGAGCATTAAGTCTTATTATGGAGAAAGGACCTTGTACATGCTGAAGTAGTGGCTACTGGCGATTTCACAGGGCTTTTTATTCTAACAAGCCACTATAATGAAAGGAGACAATGAGATGTTGGAGGATGTCTAACTATCCTGGTTTGCCTAGGAATATTCCTGTTTTAGTACTAAAGTCAGATGTCCTAGGAATCCAAGGCAATCCTGGACAATTGGTTACCTGAGGTGTTGGAAAGATCACATAGGACTCTTTAGAGAGAATGTCTTAGGTGAGGCCCTGAGAAATGAGCTGGATTCAGAGAGGTGGAAAGGAAAGGAATGGGAAAGAGCTTTGTAATCAAGAGGATCTGTACTAGCAAAGGCTTGGAATAATGGTTAAGCCTGTGCTGTTTCTAGGTCACTGTGGAAAATGGCCTGCTTAGAGTGAAGGACTTGAGTGGGAATGACTGGGACAGTTAGGATGGGACATGATTTTGAAGAACCCTCAAGCTGATGAATTTGGAGTTTATCTAATAGGAAATGGAGGGGGGAGGATCCCTAGAAATAGGAAAAGCCAGTAGGTATTCATAATGTTGGGAAGAGAAAAGGTAGGGGGAAAAGGACAAGGAAAGCAGAGATGGTATGAACTACTCATATAGGATATTAATATTAGGAATGGAAGCTAGGCAGGTTCCTGACTGTCACTTGAAAAGGCAAGTGCAACAGGCTCTTTGATGGTACAGGTTGAAGGTCTGGGGAGAAGAGATGAAAACAGGGGTCTTATCTTTGGGTGTCAGAACAGTTGAAAAGTCCTAACTTGAGACTGATCAAGTGAGAATAAACAAAATGCCAAGAATCAAGACTTATGAAGGGACAGGATGATTGGGAATAGTTGAAAGGGATTGTTTAGTTATTACTTTAAATCCATACAAATCTACTGGGCAATGCGACCTGTAATTGGTATTTCCCTTCAATTGATGCAGTACAGAAAATATACTTTTTGAGGAGTATATATCTAGCCATACTCTTGTTGTCTGAAAAATTCTTACCTATTTATACCGCCTGACTCTTCCTTTCCCTTTCTTCCCTATGGACATCTAATGAGAACAACTAAAAAGGGAGTAACCCTGGCTACCTGCCTTTCATCCCCCTTGAGGCCCAGCTGTATTCTTGCTCTTGGGTTCTATGAGATAACCTTGTATCCTTCCATAAATGTCTTCTTTGCTTGCACTAGCTTCAGCAGGTTTTTGTTAACTTGAAAACAAATGATCTCTCAACGAGACAGCATATGTTCTCACAAATATCTCATGGCAGTGAAGTTTATTCATGCCCCCTTACCTTAATGCACTATTTGATGAGAGAGGAAGAAGGAAAGTTAGTGACTCAAGATAGCATGATTTGTAACTAGGATATAATTTCAATTTTTATCCAGGTGTGACAGAGGTAGGCAGAACTTGAGACCTACCAGAGACACAACCTTCACAGACTCTATAAGAGATAAGCTAGTCAGGAGGTGGCATAGCACAGAGATTAAGAATGTGAACTCTGGAGTCAGACTGCCTGAGTGGAAATCCTAGCACCACTGCTTGCTAGATGTTTAACCATGCACAAGTTGCTTAACTTCTCTTTGCCTTAGTTTTTCATCTGTAAAGTAGCCATAATAGGGTTGTTATGAGGATTAAATGACATCCTATTAATACATATAAAACACTTGGAATAGTACCTGGAACAAACTAGGTTTTCAAGAAAGTCATATGTCATTACTATTGCTGCTATGTTAACAAGTTAATCACACAAACATACCCAACAAACTGGCAAAGTTCGACTATAGCATGCTTGGGATTTTTATTCTGGAAAATACTCATGAGTAACACACAAGAAAATCATAGACTGGGACTTAAATACATTCACAGAGCTAAATATGAAAGGTCCAAATGGCAAGGTAGGCCTGGTTCCAACCTGAATAGCTTCATTTACTATGAGGTTCTCTTACAGGGTCTGGGTAAAATTCTCCCTTTCCTCTAGCACTGGCCTGTCCACAAGCTCTGACTCTGGGAAGCAAGCTCCCAAGGAGAAGGGCCAAAAGTAAAAGTTTGAAAAATGGCTCATATAAGGTTCAGCCTACCAACATAGAGACCCTTTAAAGTCATTCAGTCAGTCATTGCATAGGCAGCCAAAAAAGTGCCCAGGTATTAACTGAAGGTAGAATCTATGTGTAAAACATTAAAGACTTAAAAAAAAAAACCCTGACATAAATTTCAAAGTTAAACTAGTTGGGCAAACATCTCAGAATTATTTTGAATAATGTTGTACTTAACGTATTTTTGACCTATGTATTTTGAACAGATTTCTCATCTATCCTTTTCATTTCGATTTAGGAAAAAAGACAGCAAATTATTCTGTTGTATTGAAATACTACACAATATGCATGTGATGGGTTCCTGATGCCCAGAGTTCTGGGCTCCTTGCCTTGCTGGATCATATTATCATTATGCTAAGCCAATGGTTCCTCATTTACTATGGAGTAAATGGAAAAAACATCCCAAACACAGCATCACATGGAATGTGGTTCAAAATACTGACTGGGTAATGAATACTATCAACAAATATAATTTTATGTTAGTAGAAAAAGATATTAGCTAATTTTACAAACCTTGTAATATATAACTACAATATGTTGATTCTATAGAATTATTGTAAAGCTACTGTAAACAAAGCAGCAGTGAGATGCACACCATCATGGTATTCATCTCTGTAGGGGGATAAAGGTTCTGGAGCCTAGCTGATTACTATAAATAAGTACTTTTCAGTGCTTTATCGTACTTTTTTTTTTTTTTTTTAGATGGAGTCTTGCTCTTGTTGCCCAGACTGGAGTACAATGGCACAATCTCGGCTCACTGCAACCTCTGCCTCCTGGGTTCATGCGATTCTCCTGCCTCAGTCTCCCAAGGAGCTGGGATTACAGGTGCCTGCCAACATGCCAGGCTAATTTTTGTATTTTTAGTAGAGACAGGGTTTCACCATGTTGGCCAGGCTGGCCTTGAACTCCTGACCTCAGGTGATCTGCTCGCCTTGGCCTCCCAAAGTGTTGGGATTACAGGTGTGAGCCGCCGTGCCAGCCTTACTCATTATTTTCATGTTATCTGGGAAACATGTTTTTTTCCTATTTTGTGAAACCTCAGAGACATCAATTCTCTACATGAAATTTTCTAATTTGCAGAAATCAGCTGAAAGGGATTTTGTTCCAAATCCTTACTGAAATTTATCATGTTTCAAAGAATATGCTCAATGATACTTTGTACTCTGTGGGTAGTATATTCACAAAATCATTGAATCTCAAAGTTGTAAATGTTATCTTGTCCATTGTCACTGCTGGGCCAGTTATTTGGGTCCTGCCATACTCTATCCCCCTTTGCTACTCTCTGTAACTCTCCTTTCTGTTGTACGCTTCTGGCTTCTGGAGATTTGATCAGACATCCTGCCTTACTAGAGAGACAGGTACCAACATATGACAACAGCCAGGGGATCTATAACTTCATTTATGTTGCATGCTATAATCTCTCAACAAATCTGTATGCTAGACTGAAAAGGTATTACTATGCTCATTTTAAGAAAAGGCAAGTTATATTCAGAGAGGCAAAGTGTAGATAGAGCAGTAAATGGCAGAGCCAGGACTACAAACTCTGGCTTCTTATTAAATGCTTGTTCCACTCCCTGCCTAATCAGAAGTGATTGTGTAGTTTTTTAAAGGCATGTAATATACCATAAAAGAAAGAGTCTAATGAGAACGGACCCTTGTCCAGAATCATCAGAAAGAGAGGATGCTGGCCAAGTGCGGTGGCACACCTGTAGTCTCAGCTACCTGAGAGGCTGATGTGAGAGGATTGCTTGAGCCCCGGAGTTCAAGACTGCAGCGAGCTATTATCACATCTGTGAATAGCCACTGCATTCTAGCCTGGGTGATGTAGTGAGACCTAGTCTCTCTCTCTCTTTTTTTTTTTGAGATGGAGTATTGCTTTGTTGACCAGGCTGGAGTGTAGTGGCGCGATCTCGGCTCACTGCAACCTCCGCCTCCTGGGTTCAAGCAACTCTCCTGTCTCAGCCTCTCAAGCATCTGGGATTACAAATGTCCGCCACCATGGCTGGCTAATGTTTTGTATTTTTAGTAGAGATGGGTTTCACCATGTTTGCCAGGCTAGTCTTGAACTCCTGACCTCAAGTGATCCGCCCACCTTGGCCTCCCAAAGTGCTGGGATTACAGGCATGAGCCACCGTGCCTGGCCCTAGACCTAGTCTCTTAATAATTTAAAAAAAAAAAAAAAAAAAAAAAAAAAAAGGAGAGGATGCTGTGGCAAGAGGTATGGATTTGTCTGAGGTAACCAGCAGAAAACTGCATGTGTGAACATTTTACTATCACTCTGTGGAATGAAATGAACATGATTCAGAATCCCATGTTCAGATGAAAACTATGATTTTGGTTAACCATAGCTTAAGGGCCTATTCACATCATAAATTTGCTTTCTTTTTTATGATTCATGCTATATTTTAAATTATAAAACATTTCCAACATAACAGTATAACAAACACCCATGTATCCATCGCTCAGATTTGACAAATGCTAATATTTTCCAATATTTACTTCATATTCCTTCCCCCAGACTCTTCATTTTTAACATATAAAAACTGAGTTTTCTTTCTAAAACTCAAAGATTACTCTGAATAGTGATAAGAGGAAATAGGTAACAAGGGTTATAATCATGAATAATATAATAGAGAGAAAACAGTTCATGATTTTCTCAGTTTTCTCACATAAAGCAAGCAGGGTATATTAATTTTCTCAATGATAGGAGGCTAAAACTACAAAACATTATAATCTGACCTTATATTTAAGACAGAACTTCCCACATATAAGATCAATTAATATCCAAGAAATATAATTAATGACAATACTAATGTTTTTAAAAAATACATTTTCACACCTATGTGTTAATCTCACAACTCTGTGAGGAAGGCAGTACAAAAGAGGACACTGAGGTTCACATAGGTAGTATTAGGTTCAAACTCATCCTGTGTTTTCTCTATTCTTCTTCTAAATATAGTAATATTTGCATTATGAAAGACACTTTGTTACACATAAAACACCTTCAGATAAAAGCTATTTATCAGCATTTATATAAATATATAAATCTTATTTGTATATACCAAATACTGATAGAAACAAAATTTGTACTTCTAAAATTTGACTTATTCTCACCACTGCCACTAGAGGGGCTATTGGATTAAGCAGATTAAGTTTTCTAGGTATATATCAGTAGTTTCCCTTTTCACAAAGAGTGGCATATCTTAAAGGGATATCATGATATCACTTAAATCTTTCTTCATTAACAACTGCAGTTTTAATTTAATTTGGATGGTGCTTAGCCATTCCTTTAAAGATAAATCTCTTTTTTTCTTTTTTTGAGACAGGGTCTCACTCTATCACCCAGGCTGGAGTGCAGTGGTGTGATCACAGCTCACTGCAGCCTCCACATACCAGGCTAAAGCGATCCTCCCACCTCAGCCTCCTGAGTAGCTGGGACCACAAGAGTGCGCCACCACACCTGGATAATATTTTTTGTGTTTTTTGTAGACAGGGTTTCACCATGTTGCCCAGGCTAGTCTTGAACTCCTGGGCTCAAGAGATCTGCCCGCCTCAGCCTCCAAAAGTGCTGGGATTACAGGCATGAGCCACTGCACCTGGCCGAAAAATAATTCTTTTTTTCTTTTTTAAGACAGAGTCAGCCAGGCGTGGTGGCTCATGCCTGTAATCCTAGCACTTTGGGAGGCCAAGGCAGGTGGATCACGAGGTCAGGAGATCGGGACCATTCTGGTTAACATGGTGAAACCCTGTCTCTACTAAAAATACAAAAAATTAGCCGGGCGTGGTGGCGGGCACCTGTAGTCCCAGCTACTCGGGAGGCTGAGGCAGGAGAATGGCATGAACCTGGGAGGTGGAGCCTGCAGTGAGCAGAGATCGTGCCACTGCACTCCAGCCTGGGTGACAGTGCAAGAATCCTTCTCAAAAAAAAAAGACAGATTCTTGCTCTGTCACCCAGGCTGGAGTGCATGGCGCTACCTCTACTCACTGCAACCTCTGCCTCCTGGCTTTAAGTGATTCCCGTGCCTTAGCCACCCAAGTAGCTGGGATTACAAGTGTGTGCCACCATGCTTGGCAATTTTTTGTATTTTTAGTAGAGTTTTGCCATGTTGGCCAGGCTGGTCTTGAACTCCTGGCCTCCCAAAGCGCTGGGATTATAGGCATGAGCCACTGCGCCTAGCCAAAAATAATTCTAATACTAACATGAATCTTGATTTACTAACACTTCCCATTCATTTTCATTTGAATAATTAAATACCTAACCATTGTTCTCTTAGAGTACCAATATTACATGAAAACATTCTGTAAGACAATTGCTTTAATGCTAAGAATGTATGTACTAGGCAACAGAAGATAAAGCCATTAATTGAAGACCTGAGTGTCACAAAGTCTAGAATCCTGTTTTATCTCTACTGCTAACTACCTAGATGATCCTGAAAAACTAGTATCATTTTTTTGGGGAAGGGGGTATTATTCTCTTTATCTATAAAATGAGGACATTTGGAGTATGTCTTTTTCATCTCTAACATTCACTGATTCTAAGAATTTGTGGTTGGTTGGGATCCAGATCAAGGGCAAAGCTATAAATTTTTTTAGGTTGACCCAGAAGTCTGAAGTCTACTTGAAAAAATACTAAGACTGCCCTATCCTTTAAAGGCTGGGAAAGTCCAGCCTTCACAACAAAACCGTCCAGGAAGCACAGAGGCTTGGACTGTTTATTTTTTGTACTTTAATAGAAGACTAGCAGCTTGCCATTTTGTGCTTTGCTAATTCAGGAATTGACACTTCTCTTCCTTTTGCCACTCATGATCCTCTTTCCCACTGTAACTCCATTCTCACCAGGCCCAAAGTACCCTAGCAGCTTCCAGAACCCTTAGGGTGAATCGAACTTTCAGTAGGGAGAGGAAAATACCAGCAACCTAAGTAACAACCAACTGGAGAGTGGAAGAATGAGCATAATATTTAGGATACCTAGAGAAATAAAACTTCTGGGGCAATAGATAATTTTAATAACAATAATAAGCAATTAAAACACTAATACAGATTCAATTATGACATTAACACTGTGTTCTGGAACAAAATATGTGATTTTCAAATTTTAAGATTTAGTAGATGAAGGTAATTACAGTCCTTGTCAAAAATTCAATTAGTTGCTTGGAAGATCAAGTGGTAGAAATATCTCCAAGGATTGTGCAAAAGTGCAAAAGATAGAAGTCATGCAGAAAATAATAAGAAGACAGAGCAAGAGACTGACATACTACCAATAGGAATTCCATAAGGAAATAAAGGAAGAGATAGGGGGGAAAAGAGGAAAATTTTATTTATTTGAGAAGAGTTGGACTTGGAAATTGAAAAGGTTTACTAAGTTCCAGCCAAGATTGATTTAAAAAAAAAAGCAAAACAAAAACATAAACCTAAATATGTCCTGGTACAATTTTGGAATTTCAAAAATAAACAGAAAATCTTACAAGCTACCAAATATTTAATAGGAAGATTGGGTTACTAACAAAGGAAAAAGTAATATTGGCTTTGGACTTCTTACCTACAATACCAAAAACTAGAAAATAGTAAATTAACATCAACATATCTCTTCAAGCCATACAACCCTCAAATCTTACATCCAGTCATTCACTAATCAAAATGGAAGAATGATACTTGTTAGAATGCAAAGATTCAGATGACAAATCACCAAGTAATGTTCTGGAAAAATGACTGTAAATGAAAAAATGATTCAGAACATAGACTTCAAGGTAGGGGAAGTTGGAGGAGAGAAAACAGTAGTGAAACACACACACACAGTCCTTTATAAAAAATATAGCTAAATCTAGGCTGGGCATGGTGTCTCACACCTATAATCCCAGCACTTTGGGAGGCCAAGGCAGGTGGATCACTTGAGGTCAGGAGTTCGAGACCAGCCTGGCCAACATGGTGAAACCCTGTCTCTACTAAAAATATAAAAATTAGTTGGGTGTGGTGGCAGGTGCCCGTAATGCCCGTTACTCAGGACACTGAGGCAGGAGGATCACTTGAACCTGGGAGATGGAGGTTGCAGTAAGCTGAGATTGTGCCATTGCACTCCAGCCTGGGTGACAGAGTAAGACTCTGTCAAAAAAAAAAAAAAAAAAAAAAAAAAGAAGAAAGAAAGAAAGAGAAAAAAAGAGAGAAAGAAAGAGAGAGAAAGGAAAGATAAAGAAGAAAAAAGAAAGAAAAGAAAAATTAAAAAAGAAAGAGAAAGAGAAAGAAAGAAGGAAAAAGAAAGAAAGAAAGAAAATAACAAGTAGGGCAAAAAGTCACCAGGCAAATGTAAATAAGCAAAAAAGCAGGAGTAGTAATATTAATGTCAAAACGGGATTTGATGTTAAAAAAAAGAATAAAGAGACACAACAAATTGTGATAAAAGGAAACTTTGTAAAGGTGATGCAGCAGTATACAACTCTCTCACAAGACAGCGTCTCATTTCATCCAGACTTCCTGATTGTCCCACCAAATTCCTGCACATTGTAGGCACTCAGTAAATGGGCTGAATGAAACTTGATTTCAAGTCAGTCTATCCACAGTAGCTTTGGGAGTAAATAGTTTAGTTACTCAATTATAATATCATAGGCTAATAATATTGTCTGGGATGAAAGAAAAGATACTGCTAAACATATAATCATAAACAGTACTTTGAGAAGGGATTAAGGTGAAACAACTGTATATTCAAATATCATGTAAAAGAGGAAGCCAACTTATTTGGCATTGCTTGGAGGGCAGAATTAGGGCTAACAGATGAAAGACACAGGAAGAAAGACTGGCTCTGTGTAATGGAAAAACATACTTACTTTAACAGCCATCGAACAATAGAATGTGCTACCTCATGAGGCAGTAGAGATCTTTCTCACTAAAAGAATTCAAACAAAAACCTAACAGCTAAGTTGTTGCAGATTTTCCTTAACACCCCCTTGGGTGAAAGTCTGGACTAGCTAACATCAGAATAAGATACTGTGATTCTATGGAAATACTGAAAGTTACATAAACACAATGACTATTTTCTTTTCACATATAAACTGAAGCATAGAGGGAAACACCAATCTGACCTGACTGATGCAATTTGATACTTGTCTTGTAGATAATACTCTTCTCCCTTTCATTTTTGAACATAAGAAACATTTGCCTATTTGACTTGAGTGAAATGAATAACGGTATCTTTTCTTCCTAAAGCCATGACATTCATCTTCAACTTGGAAGATGGCTACCAATATTAATAGCACTCTCTGTAGAGTTCTAAGTTGATCACATGTCAAAGAACCACGCACTTAATAGAAAGGTAGAAAAAGAGAAAGGAGGAGCATGTTTCAAAATAAATCTGTCAGAGAATGAATGCAGCTTTCTCAAAAGTGTATGTACTCATCAGTTTCTGTGAAGAAAGAATATATTCAGAGGGTATGACATCTTTTGAACACTGTATCTTTTCAGATTTCAATTTGATTGCTTTGGGGGCTCAATTCCAAAGCAACTTAAAAAAGTTAAGACTTTTTTTGCTTTTTAAAATTTACATCTGCCTCAAATTACTATAATCCTGATTCTGGCATAAAATTATTTTTGCTTTATCATGAAGATAAATGGTAAAGGCTCTGTCTTGGTTTTGAATTTTACAGCATTTACCCAAGTTTAGGATTTATGAATTTCAGAAACAGTATTCAGAATGCAAATACATTTCTATTTTAAAATATTTAATATAAACACACAGATGGACAACAGCTGCTAATTAGTTTCCTGTTTCATCTGTTACACCAACTGCAAGCTGCATCATTTTAAGATGAGTGAAGATGACACAGAGAAAAAGTCTAGGATGTGTGGATTAAAGAATGTTGGCAGTTAATCATACCAAGGTAACAAAAAATAGCTGAGGACATCTATTATCATATCATAGTTTCTTCAGAGGTCAAAGATAAATTCATTAACTACAAATCTTTTCTGGGTGTCTACTTCACGTATGGAATCAAACTACATACTACACATATAGCCATCATTTCATTCTTTTCCAGTCTCACTGGGTGTTCTGGGACCATGGAGTCATGTAAAGAAAGAAGAAAGCATGGTTCTTGCCTTTAAGTTTATAAGCTAGTGCAGAAAACTCATCAGTGAAAAAAAGTTAGAAAAATGAGTGAAATAAGCAATGACATTAATATCATCTGTTGAATTCAAATACATTAATTAAAATGAAAAAATATATATCATATATTTATATATAATATAAAGAAATGACAAAAAGGGTAAATGGGATAGAATGATTAGAATTAGTTGGAGATAATTAGGACAGGCTTTCTGGAAGACATTACTTTTTATGAGTTTGGGGTAGGAAAACAATGTCTAAAGCTACAGTAATACCTAGAGGTTATTCATAGAAGAAACAGAAATGTCAACTGCAATAGCAACGCTTAAAGATAAAGGAGGGCAACTCTAACAGCTACATAAAAAGTCTATCACTGAGATCGGAAAGAACCTCTCGTCATTAAACACGTTTGTTAAGGTAGAAAGAATGTTCTTTGTTAACCAATAGAAAATGAGAAACCTCTGCTGAAAAATGATCAGAAAATAAATCTATCCCAGCTTGCTAGGAGTAAAAGAAAAAAAAAGAAGAAAATAAATCTATTATGTTGACTCAAAAATGAAAACTTTGCATTTTGAGCAGAAAAGGAGGTTCATGCCATAAGGAGAGCAGATAGTTTATAAAAATGACAAGAACCAATTAAATTCAGATCTAAATTATCGTTGATGATTAGAAAACTCCTACTTTAAGAACATTGGGTAAGCAATGAAAAATTAGGATGTGTTTGGTTCACAAATTGGAAGTTGTAAGGCACTCGGCTTTGCCCAAATAATCACTGTGCTGTTAAGTCTATCTTGATAATTCCTGCTAAATGTGCCAGGTTTTTAAGAACCCAATTTTCTATCTCAGTATTTGTCCTTCTGCTTCTTGCTTTAATATAAAGAGGTAGCTTCACAAATTCGCAGCAGCAAGAGGAGGCAGTTCAAATACAAAACATCAATCTATGACATAGTCAAGTAAGCCCAGGATTTGAGTGGGGCAGGCTTCTGTGATGGCAATTTTCCAGAAGGGGGAAATCTTCTTAATGATGGGAATTTCCCAGCCCTTCCTTCAGGCCTTGAAAGGCTAGAAGGTCCAAGTTGGCAGTTCAGAAGCTATATTGCTGAGCTGTCATAAAGTTGAATCCTTATTCAATACTTAAAATCAGTTTGAGGAATTATATAAACTCAATTAATGCTGAAATTTATTTAAAAAAATTTCCCCAAGTGGATTCTATTTGGATAATGATTACCGCTTGTTATATTCAAGAAGTAAATTTGTAAGATCTTTTCAAGCCTGAGAGAGCTGCTCCTCAATTTTTTAAATTAAAAGCCTGCTAAATCTATTTGGAATTTCTCCCAAGATGCTTTTCTTCAGAAATATAAAATGAACCACCCAGCCACAAAGCTTTACACTGTACATTTTTTGGGGATGTGTCTCAGGAATGCAACTCTACTGTCAGTACCATACTTTCTGGCCTGCTCCTATGGTCAAGGCTTTTGGACTTACTTTGAAGGGGCCCTGTAAGATTCTTCTGGACTGTTGTATAATTGAAAGTTTCTAGGTTTCATGGAAAGAGAGAATGGTATAGGAAAAGATGGCAGGGCTGTTTAATGTATCCCTACTAAGTGCTGTGGATATAGTGTTTACCAACATACACTTTGTCCTAGTATTCATGGAGCTTATCTGGTGGGAAAGAAAACAACCCTGGCCCAATACTCACAAATCCTTTTTCCACCCTGTTTAAGCCATACAAGACAACAACTTCTCAAAGCAAATTTATTAGGAAACTGAGAAAAAAGAAAAAAAAAAAGCAGTAACAGAGAAAAATATATGTGCTCAAATGACCAATATCTTACTAAGTTCTGGCCACAACTGCTTGGCTAGCACATATAGCATTCAGTACTTATTTACCCATCTACATTTCTTTGTCTTCAACTCTTCCCCTACAGTAGCTCACACTGTCTAGGAGGACTAAAGGAGGCTAATAGGTTATTGAACCAGCCTCGGGGAAAAGAAAACTAGGACATCTGCTGTTCCATATTTAAGGTAGATCCCTTAGAAAATGGGCAAAAAACCTGAACAGACACTTCTCAAAAGAAGACATACAAGCAGCCAACAAACATATGAACATATGTTTAGGGATATGATCATTTAACATATCCCTAATCACAGAGAAATACAAATCAAAACCACAATGAGAGACCATCTCACACCAGTCCAAATGGCTATTACTAAAAAGTAAATAATAGATCTTGGTGAGGCTGCAGAGAAAAGAGAACATTTACACACCGTTGGTGGGAGTGTAGATTGGTTCAGCCACTGTGGAAAGCAGTTTGGAGATTTCTCAAAGAACTGAGAACTACCATTCAACCCAGCAATCTCATCACTGGGTATATATCCAGAAGAAAACAAATCATCCTACCAAAAAGACACATGCACTCTTAAGTTCATTGCAGCATTATTCACAATAGCAGAGACATAGAATGCTCTTCAATGGTGGACTGGATAAAAAAAAAGTGGTGCATATACATCATGGAATAGTACACAGCTATAGAAAAGAATGAAATCATGTCCTTTGCAGCTACATGGATGCAGCTGGAGGCCATTATCCTAACTGAATTAATGCAGGAACAGAAAACCAAATACTGCATGTTCTTACTTGTAAGTGGGAGCTAAACACTGGGTACTCATGAACATAATGATGGCAACAATAGACACTGGGAACTACTAGAGGAGGGAAGGAGGGAGAGGGGTAAGGGGCCTAAAACCTAACTATTGGGTACTATCCTCACTACCTGGGTGACGTGATCATTGGTTCTCAAAACCTCAGCATCACCCAAAATACCCATGTAACAAACCTGCACATTAGCCCCTGCATCTAAAATTTAAAAAGTAGAAAATATGTAAATATATAAAGAATGCATTTGAGTGAAAAGAACAGAAAGAATAGAAAGGCACTGTGCAATCAAAAGAAGAAAGAACGACATGAAAATGAAGAAAAAGAATTTATAATGAGAGGTTGAAAATTCAAAGCCAATATATTACATTATTATTTTGTAGAATTCTAGATGAGGTAAAATAGTTGATATTTTGTCAAGGGTAACATTAAAGACTTTCTTTCTTTCTCTTTCTTCCTGCCTTCCTCCCTCCCTCCGCCTTCCTTCCTTCCTTCCTCCCTCCCTCTCCCTTCCTTCCTTCCTCCCTCCCTCCCTCTCCCTCTCTCTCTCTTTCTTTCTCTCTTTCTTTCTTTCTTTCTAGTCAATGATGCTGCCAACCTATCATCTATTGGGGGAAAATATCTAATATGAACAGTTTATCACCATGGGTTCTGGAAAACAAAACATAGCTATGAAATACTTTTTATGCTTGGAGAAAACAAAATGTAGGTAGGCTAAGGTTTCTATTACATTAGTTATCTGTCAAGTTCTACAAATATATACTATGGCTAAATTTTCAAGTCTTATTATTTGAGCAATTGCAAAATAGTATGAGAAATAAAATTCAAAGTCAATATAGACATTAAGATTTTGCATTTAAGTATGTTTTCTATAATCTTTTGATTTAAACTTTTGTTGTATTACAAAATATTATAATTTTACTTAAAATGCAGCAAGACTTTGGCTTCTTTTTAATTTGCCTACTTATCACTATGTTTATGGCATTACACACCTAATAGTATTAATAGCTCTTACTTAGATTCAGATTCCTTAGATGAGCTGCTTGCCTCTTTTGTCCGTTTTGGAAAGTTTGATTACAGTTGTCAATACTGGTCCACCAAATTTTTAATAATGCATAAGGGGAATTTTTAGGAGGTTCTTTTATTACAAAAGAAATACAGTATATCCTCAGGGTAAAAATATTCAAGTATTTCAGAAATATTAAAAAAAAAAAGTAGAAGTGGCTGGGCACGATGGCTCACACCTTTTATCCCAGCACTTTGGGAGGCCAAGGCAGGTGGAACACCTGAGGTCAGGAGTTTGAGACCAGCCTGACAAACATGGAGAAACCCTGTCTTTACTAAAAATACGAAATTAGCTGGGTGTGGTGGTGCATGCCTGTAATCCCAGCTACTTGGGAGGCTGAGGCAGGAGAATCGCTTGAACCCATGAGGTAGAAGTTTCAGTGAGCTGAGATCGCACCATTGCACTCCAGTGTGGGCAACAACAGCGAAACTCCGTCTCAAAAAAAAAAAAAAAATTAGAAGCGCCCACCGCCACGCCCGGCTAATTTTTGTATTTTTAGTAGAGACAGCGTTTCACCATACTGGCCAGGCTGATCTTGAACTCCTGACCTTGTGATCCACCTGCCTTGGCCTCCCAAAGTGCTGGGATTAGAGGCACGAGCCACAGTGGCTGGCCCTTACCATCACTTTTAATTCTCTAACTTCTACCCCATATGCAAACTCTTACTACTAGAAATAACACTTGGGTGTATAGGGTATTTCTACATATAAATACCTTCCCATGCATATACCATATTTATAAATATATGTTTGTTCAGTTGCTATTCAATGTGAGATAAAATTAAACATGTTATTCTGCAACTTGCTTTTTTCAAATAAAATGTATTTTGGGAAAAAAGTAGAAACAGCAGCCGGGCACGGTGGTGGGTGTCTGTCGTCTCAGCTACTCGGGAGGCTGAGACAGGAGAATCACTTGAACCCGGGAGGCAGATGTTGCAGTGAGCCGAGATCACGCCACTGCACCCCAGCCTGGGCGACAGAGCGAGACTCCGTCTCAAAAAAAAAAAAAAGTAGAAATAGGGTTGTGCTTAAAAGTATATAAACTCACATAAATTTGTGCCAATTCAGAATATCTAGGCTTTACTAGTTTCATATTTGGGCTGGGGATATAAGATTTGGTAGTCAGTCATTAGCATACAGAATGAAAAGGACAGAAAGCCAAGGGTAAGCCACGGGGAGACCTATATTTAGGGGAATGAGCATAGCAAAAAGAGCTATAAAAGCCAAGAAATAATAGATTTTGAGTGGAGAATGAAGACATGGAAATAGTATGTTGCTACACAGGAATATAAAATTGTGGTAAAGAGGCCTAACAGCTTGCTTTTCCAGGCATTTTGTGTTTACATACACATACCATTTTGAGGCTTTGTAATCCAGACAAAGATAATTCAACAGTGACACTGCTCTCTTCTACATAATAGACTTCAATATTTCTCTTTATTTAATCTCTTTCTTCTTATAGTTCCAAATTTGAGTTTAAGTTCTGGAACCTTCTAAAATATTTTTACTGCTTGGAATTTGTGATTCTTCAAAAGTAAGATCAATATCTGTTTCAATTTTGTATCTTCCATAGCCTTTGGCTTAAAATTCATAGCAGACGCATGACTGATCTTACTATATTCTTGATACTTCCTGTGTTCCACAGACCTGCAGTTTGGTATAATTTTGGAGCTTGTCAGAGATGCAAAATCTCAGCCCACCCCAGATTTGTTAAAGTATAATCAACATTTTCAATAAGATCTCCAGACGACTCACAGGTACACAATCAATACTTCCTGGTGACTGATTAAACAATGAGTAAACAAATTGTATTGTTCTCCTTATTTCCAGTCTCCATCATTAGCTTATATGATAAATCTAGGTCAATTGATCTTTTTAAAATAATTGTTTTTTATGTCAATTCGGCAAAACAAAAACAAAAACAAAAACCCAAACAAACCAAAAAATACCCAAACTTCAAATTTAACTGAATTGGGTAGTTTGGCAGCCTAAATTGCAAAGCCATTTTTTTTTTTTTATTATACTTTAAGTTTTAGGGTACATGTGCACATTGTGCAGGTTAGTTACATATGTATACATGTGCCATGCTGGTGCGCTGCACCCACTAACTCGTCTTCTAGCATTAGGTATATCTCCCGATGCTATCCCTCCCCCTTCCCCCCTCCCCCCACCCCACAACAGTCCCCAGAGTGTGATATTCCCCTTCCTGTGTCCATGTGATCTCATTGTTCAATTCCCACCTATGAGTGAGAACATGCGGTGTTTGGTTTTTTGTCCTTGCGATAGTTTACTGAGAATGATCATTTCCAATTTCATCCATGTCCCTACAAAGGACAGGAACTCATCATTTTTTATGGCTGCATAGTATTCCATGGTGTATATGTGCCACATTTTCTTAATCCAGTCTATCATTGTTGGACATTTGGGTTGGTTCCAAGTCTTTGCTATTGTGAATAATGCCGCAATAAACATACGTGTGCATGTGTCTTTATAGCAGCATGATTTATAGTCCTTTGGGTATACACCCAGTAATGGGATGGCTGGGTCAAATGGTATTTCTAGTTCTAGATCCCTGAGGAATTGCCACACTGACTTCCACAATGGTTGAACTAGTTTACAGTCCCACCAACAGTGTAAAAGTGTTCCTATTTCTCCACATCCTTTCAAAATCTGGTTCAAATTTCTACTCAATTTACCTGTCTTATCCTTCTACCTGAATCTCTTGTTCATTTCTAATTCTCTAGACACTATTTGTTTCTACTTCTCTACTTTGTGCATTCAGTTTCCTACTTGGATTAACACACTCTCTTTTCCTATCTAAATCCTACTCATTCTTTTAAGTTCTAGCTTGAAACTAGAGGTTTATAAAACTCTGTCTGACCAATCCAGCCCACAGTAGTACACAGGTATACAATATCTTGTCTTTATAATGATAGTAGAGAATTATGGATTGTCAATCTCAGGAAATTTAGATTCCATTTTTATCTCTGCCACTAACTAGTAGTATAATGCTGGGCAAGTTACTTAATATCTCTGGGTTTCAAAATGTGTCTCTTTAAAGAAAAAGACTATAGGAACTCCAACAGTACTGTGTTCCAAACAGTGTGAGAAAACAAGAAATGTATTTTAATATATATATAATGTTTACAAATGAATGATTTTCAAATACAGTTGTTAATTCTCAGGTATTTGAAGCATCCCTCCAGTAATCTTCATAGTACTATTAAATTAACCTTTTAAAATAAAAGGTATAGTAAGCAAAGGCCATTTAGTCCAACTCACTTCAAAGAGCTACAAAGTCTTATTCTTCTATTTTTACTTTGATTGTCAAAATTATGGCAGGTGATAAGAATAAGAGCTGAGAAATAGAATCATATAGAATTTAAAAACCAGACTCAAACCTTTTTTAATGATACAAATAGAGCTGTCACTCTCTACCCTTATCTGTCATAGTTGAGTAAGGTTCTGTGCTTACTGACTTTTTTTTTTTTTTTGAGACAGAGTCTCGCTCTGTCACCCAGGCTGGAGTGCAGTGGCACGATGTTGGCTCACTGCAACCCCCACCTCCCACATTCAAGCGATTCCCCTGCCTCAGCCTCCCAAGTAGCTGGGATTATAGGCATGCACCACCATGCCTAGCTAATTTTTGTATTTTTAGTACAGACGGGGGTTCGCCACGTTGGTCAGGCTGGTCTCCAGCTCTTGATCTCAGGTGATCCGCCCGCCTTGGCCTCCCAAAGTGCTGGGATTATAGGCGTGAGCCACTGCACCTCGCCCTTATTGACATTCTTGAGCTATTTCTCTCCCTGCTTTAAACCTAGGGTACAGTTTCTCCCATGACTCTGCTTGTTTCCCTGGAGAGCTTTACCCAGATGCTTCTGTGTGACAATATTTGCTTTCCTTAGCAAATGGCTGAATAGGATGAAGAAGAATGAAGGAGGGTAGCCTTCACAGAATATCAATAGGCTGTAGATTAAATACCTTGTTTTCTTTGCTAAACTCCCAGCACAGATTTCCATTAGAACAATTATAAATTCTTTCCTCCCACATTCCACCTCTGCATTCTACACCATTCACTCTGGACCCCTTCAATATAGCACTCTAAGACTAAGAAAGCCTAGATTTGCATCAATTTCTTTTTTTTTTAAATTGTTCTCAGTTTGATATAAGGTATTACTATTCAAGAAAAGGGTATACACTAGAGATTTGTACATTCACTGAATTGCCTTAACCTGTTTATAGTTTTGTTGTTCTTTATACTGTTTTCAAAGTATATTTTGGAGTTAAATGCAATATCACCATTATTAGGAAATGTCCACCACAAATTAACAGTGTGGATCCCAGAAAAATATCAGCATACCAACATGTTGGCCTTTCAATGATGTTTTGGCCTTTAGAGTACTTCAAGATAATGGCAGTATATACAGTATATTAAGTAACCTCTTTAAAAAAAAAAGTATAACAGTAAGAGGGAGAATGGGCAGAATTATAGTCCAGAACAAATTAGGGTAAAAACAATTTAAAAGCTCCCTTTTTCCTTATACTATTTCTTAGAGCTCATTAACGCACTTAGAGGTAGGGCCAGAGCCATTGGTAGGAGGGAAATAACCCTAAGAATCTGGTGTTTGTTCCATGAAGTTTCAAGCCTGCTTGCCTTATCTTTGTGTTTTCAAACTCTTGGATTTATCACTTCTCTTCTCAGAAGTTGATTTTGGTCTTTGGAAAAGCTGTATCTGGATAGGATAGTTTTTAAGTACTTGTATCTTAAAGGATAGGTTACTGCTAAGGCCCAAATTCAAATAACTGGCTTTTTCCCCCCTTTCCTTCCTGTACACTGGCTTTACTTTCCCTTCTTAGGACGAGGGGCCCTGGAGTCTCGCTTTGTTGCCCAGGCTGGAGTGCAATGGTGCAGTCTCAGCTCACTGCAACCTCCACCTCCCGGGTTCAAGTGATTCTCCTGTGTTAGCCTCCCGAGTAGCTGGGATTACAGGTGCGCACCACTACCCCCAGCTAATTTTCATATTTTTAGTAGAGACAGGGTTTCACCATGTTGGCCAGGCTGGTCTCAAACTCCTGACCTCAGGTGATCCACCTGCCTTGGCCTCCCAAAGTGCTGGGATTACAGGTGTGAGCCACCACTCCTGGCCAAACTTCTTTAGAGCTAAACATCCATGCAAATACAAATGGTGAAGATTTTAAAAAGAATGACATTTGAAAATACACCAGCTTCCACTCCAGTGTCCTCAGAGAAAGAAAAAAAAATCAGGAGGAAAGAAGAGAACTTCAAAAGGTTAGATGACATAAAAGCTACTACCTTTCAGGTTACTGGCAAGATGCTTGTGTCCAAGGTTTAGACCAGGGGTGTTCAATCTTTTGGCTTTCCTGGGCCACATCAGAAGAAGAATTGTCTTGGGCCACACATAAAATACATTAATGATAGCTAATGAGCTAAAAAAAAAAATCGCAAAAAAATCTCATAATGTTTTAAGAAAGTTTATGAATTTGTGTTGGGCTACATTCAAAGCTGTCCTGGGTTGTACGTGGTCCATGGGCCACGGGTTGGAGAAGCTTAATTTGTTTACTTATTTATTTTTTGAGACAGAGTCTCACTCTGTTTCCCAGGCTGGGGTGCAGTGTTACGATCTCAGCTCACTTCAACCTCCGCCCCCCAGGCTCAAATGATTCTCATGCCTCAGCCTCCCGAGTAGCTGGGATTACAGATGTGTACCACCACACCTAGGCAATTTTTCTATTTTGTAGTAGAGATGGGGTTTCTCCATGTTAGTCAGACTGGTCTCCAACTCCTGGCCTCAAGTGATCCACCCGCCTTGGCCTTCCAAAGTGCTGGGATTACAGGCGTGAGCCACTGTGCCTGGCCTGGACAAGCTTAGGTTAGACTATGTCCAGTGTGAGCCTAAGATAAAGTTCACAGCATGCCTTGTCAGATCCTACCTTGTGAATGGTAGGTCAGAACCTCTTCAAAAGCACATCTGAGTTTTGGGAAAGTACTCAACATAAGGGAAGAAGGATCCATGCTTAATGAGGTCTACACAGTGATGAGGTAGTGATAAGAGAGAAAGGGGATTATGGGTGATAGATACATCATGAGTATTTATCACTCAGATCTGTCTCTGAGCCTTGTCTCCATTGGGTTGATATTTGAGTATTACTAAAAGCAGGTGTAGCTCTAGTGAAATGGAAAGGGTGACTTTTGAAAGACAGCCAGGCAGCAGTGTTGCATGATACTAGGATGTTTAGAAAGTGTAGACTTGCTTTTGATCACACATGAGACAGCACTGGAGATTCACAGAAATACTTAGAAAACTTAGCAGAGGGCTGAGTTAATTCAGTAGATGGGGGTAATAGGCTCTTAAAAATTGAGTAATTATAGTCATTGTGCTTCCCTTTGTACTTTCAAGTAGGTAAAGCCTGGAGAAACAGGTTACATAAAGACACAAAAATCAATATAGAAGTCCTAGAAAAAAATTGTACTTAAATTTCAAAGAATTAGGTAGTGCTACTTTTGACAATCTCTCTTTCTCTTCTTACCTATGCTTTTCCTGTCTTTCTTGAAAGAAGTAAAAATGTGCATCAGAATAATGCCATCACTGTTAGCTCCATTGGGATAAAACCAAAACTATTACAAAAACATCCTTTGAAACCTAACATACTACAGGAAAGTAAAGTATTTCTCTTGTTTTCAGAGACATTCCAAGAAATCTTTATCTCTAAAGGACATAGATACCTCAATATTCTTTGGCTTCTGAAGAATGAGATAAGTGAAAATTATGACATTAAATTTCTGTCTCTTTAGCAGCAACTCCACCTAATGAGTATTCCAAAAACTCGTATTTGTACAATACAAACTTTTCAGAATGACATCAAATACTTACTTGTCTCCTACAATACCCAAGTTGATCGTGGGGTAACCATGTTCCTGAATTGTTGCTAGAAGAGTTGAACGATTGCTGTCTCGAATCTTCCCTGGTAAGAGGTCATCTTCAGGATTTAGCAGCTACAAAGCCAAAAAACCACCACAAATTATTCTATTAGGTTAATGTTGCATATTTCTAATGAAAAAAAAATCTACTAAACTGAGTTTAGCATATCTAGCACCTACAATGGTATCTGGCATTTTGAAGGTGAATGCCCAAAGGATCTTTAAATAAATATTGAAAGTATAGGAGGATGAGAAAATGTTCCTATGGAAGTCAAAAAACACTCTGAAATTTCACTGGCGATTGAACTGCATGCAAAATATCCCACCAGGTTGGGCTCCAATTTGATAATAATGCTCTGGAGATACTGGCCAAACTAAATAAAACAATTATCTTTTTTTCTCCCAATATTATTTTCCAATTTGTCTTCCATTGGGAATATTTGAGGTATAGATTGTGTGACATGATATCCTTAAGTCTGAACAGAATAATAGTTTATCTTTTCTTTCAAACTTTTTTGTCTCTTTTCTGAAGTGGGGTCAACAGTATCAAAGAAGCTAAGCTTATGTGAAGGAGAGGAAGACAGATGTTTTGTCTCTGATACTAGCAAACTTAAGTAATACTTAGCTACATGTATGCACAATTCCATTATTCTGAACTGAATTAATCTTTAGAGATTTAATATCTACTATGTCTACGAAGAAAATTAACGAAGCTTATTCTACCTTAGGATGTTCCAATGAGGTAGTCAGATTGTAGAGTAGGAAGAGCTTTGGATTCCAACAGGGTTCAAATTCAAGTTGACAAAATTCTTTGTCGTAATTTTCTCATTTATAAAATATAGTAATAATAACTACCTTGCAAGGTAATTGTTAGGAGTGAGATAATGAACATTCAGTTTATGCAGATAAATGTACAATAAATGTGATTCTCTTTCCTTTCTTTATGACATATGACGTCAAAGGATCACCTACTTTCCTCCCAATTGTTCTCATATTGTTACCCCTAGATGCTAGTACAGATGACATCAGTTTATAATGTGAACATAGACTATTAGATTATAAAATACCTAAGAGTAGGGGGTCCTTCACATACACAGATACATTCTTACAACAATTTATGTATCAGTTTTAAGATATGCTTTGATTTCAGAAATTATAAAGTAAAAAAAGAAGTACTTACTTGAAGTGAGAAAACCTGGACTATTATTTTAGGAGGTTAAAGGCAAGCCTGCACATTTAAGATGTTTTAGCTACTAATATGGCCAACACCAGAGCTTATTATATGAATTCTCCCAGACAATAACCACAAGTCCTAATCTTCCTTCAGACTCATTAGTGATAGTATGTGGCCAGATTTTTGACTTTATATTGGAAAAGTAGTAGCTTTGCAACCAACTGTCCCCTTACAATAGGCTACAGGAAAACTGTGACCATCTTATTCAGTGTCACCAGGGAGTCTTCCCTTCGAATACTTACTAATTTAACTTAATCAGATGCCATGTGACATTGTAACCCACTTTCATTCTTACTCCCTGGCAGTACTTGGAAAATTGCTACTGCAATGCTAACATAGATTAATTTTCTGATCTTAATTAACACAGTTATTAAAGTGATTATAATTTTATAAGGGGCAAGGCTTGCAGCTCTTTAACTCCATTAATCAAACTAGTTGCTTTAGAAAGAAAAATGTGTGATTATATCATTTTTTTCAAAGCAGGGTATTGACCACGAACTAAGTAAGATTCCTCTGTTATCAGGGTGTTTTCTTTGCTATTTATGTTCCTCTCTGTTATTTTGCTGCAAACAGTTCCAGAAATAACGGAAAATTAGAGATCACTGGAGAACCCATTATTTGTCTGTAAAACTGACATAACGAAAAAATAGCTAGTTAAATGAGGGTGTGGGATTTACAGTGTATTTTAAATAATTTCAAATAAAACAATACAGAATTAAATGGAAGAGTATAAGGCTAAATATACTAGAATAAACTCACAATTTTTCCTTTTAAAACTGAATCTTATTTTCTGTTATACTTCCAGTCATCTTGGGAATGATGTCTGAAATTTATTACAGTTTCAAAAGAAAAAAATATGAGGTAAAACAAAACATAACCCATCATCTCCATATCAAGTCACCAAGTTCAATTTCCCATTTTTGGTATTATCAATGGTACCACTATCTTCCCACCTCTTTTTTTTTTTTTTTGAGATGGAGTCTTATTCTGTTGCACAGGCTGGAATGCAGTGGCGCAATCTCAGCTCACTGCAACCTCCACCCCCTGGGTTCAAGCGATCTTCCTACCACAGCTTCCTATCTGGGACTACAGGCGCACACTACCATGCCTGGCTAATGTTTGCATTTTTAGTAGAGACGGGGGTTTGCCATGTTGGCCAGGCTGGTCTTGAACTCCTGACCCCAAGTGATTCACCTGCCTCAGCCTCCCAAAGTGCTTGGATTAGAGGTGTGAGCCACCATACCTGGCCACTATCTTCCCACTTTTTAAACATTAAACTTTTTTGTTGTTGTTTGTTTTTGTTTTTGAGACAGCATCAAGCTCTTGTTGCCCAGGCTGGAGTGCAATGGCGTGATCTCGGCTCACTGCAACCTCTGCCTCGTGGGTTCAAGCGAGTCTCCTGCCTCAGCCTCCCGAGTAGCTGGGATTACAGGCATGCGCCACCACGCCCGGCTAATTTTGTATTTTTAGTAGAGATGGTGTTTCTCTACTGTTGGTCAGGCTGGTCTCAAACTCCTGACCTCAGGTGATCCGCCCACCTCGGCCTCCCAAAGTGCTGGGATTACAGGCGTGAGCCACTGCGCCTGGCCTAAACATTTAACTTTGTTTTCCCCTTTGTAGCCCACTCTTCCCAAAAGCCTCAATCATTAAGAATATTCTAATCCATCTCTTCCTTGACCCTACATTTTCATTCACTCTTTTACTACCTCCCAAAACAATTCTAGACATTCATTACATTATGTCTGAATTTCTGTGAAAGCCTTATAATTGGCTGCCTTGCCTACAAACTATTTCCTTCTGAGAAATAAAACAGAAACATCAACTTGCAAAACTATACCATTATTTGCATAACAGCTAAACTGTACCAAACCAGGACATGTAACTTGAAATAAATTGTTTTTAACACAAGCTTGTTCAGATCCATATACTTTAAGATAAGATCATGGACAACTTGTTTTAACAGTAGTTCCACATGGATTCATATGCTCTGAAGATAAGACTGACTGTGATCCACCAATTCACCTATTTTACAAATTCCGACCAATCTCTGCTCGGACTTTGCTTAATAACTTCTACCTTAAAACTATCCCATGGCCAACCCTAGTCCTCAAAATCCTATAAATACCCTCATAAAAATCTTATGACTTCCCAGTTGTGAAACACCACTGAGACTCTGTTGAAGGGTAGCAGAATATACTACCCCAAAATATGCCAGCATAACAAATATTTTTTAGCCGAAGGCACTTGAGAAGAAAAATATAAGAAACGCTCTCTGCTTTTCTCCTGTTTGCCTAAAAGTAGGACATAAATTAAGAAAGGTAACTCCCCCCGCGACCCCTGGAGGGATGAATCTTTTTTTTTTTTTGAGACGGAGTCTCGCTCTGTCGCCCTGGCTGTAGTGAGTGCAGTGATGCGATCTCGGCTCACTGCAAGCTCCGCCTCCCGGGTTCACGCCATTCTCCTGCCTCAGCCTCCCGAGTAGCTGGGATTACAGGCCCTCGCCACCACACCCGGCTAATTTTTTTGTATTTTTAGTAGAGTAGGGGTTTCACCGTGTGTTAGCCAAGATGGTCTCAATTTCCTGACCTTGTGATCCACCCGCCTAGGCTTCCCAAAGTGCTTGAATTACAGGCGTGAGCCACCGCGCCTGGCCCGAGGGATAAATCTTTGGACACTTATCAGCCTGCAGATGGCGCCAGAGGAATTTATATATCAAACTTTATTAACTAGCCTTTAATCTATCATTAGTTTCCCATATATTTGCCTTCCCACAAATTGCCGGCCCTAGAGACTCAAGGTCCTTTGTCTCATCACTTCTCTAAGAATGTACTGTTCTTTGCTGAAGATGCTATTTAAGCCAGACTTCTCAGCCATCACTTTAGGAGTTACTAATTTTCCCTTGGGTATGTCCCATATATACACGAGGTATACATGTTAACTAACTTCTCTTTTTTTCTTGTTAATCTATCGTTTATAGAGGTCCCAGGTAAGAACTCACAAGGGTAGAGGAAAAATTATTTTTCCCTCCCCAACATTGTCAAGGTGATGTTTTCTTTTTCTCAGAAACTTTAATATAACCATTTTGTATGATCAACAGGTTTCCCTGGTGGTCTTTGTATTAGGATTTTGGTATTATGAAAATCCTACCAAGACTTAGGCAGGAACTCTTGCCACCAGTTATATTATTGGTTATACTGTATTTCAGTGAGGTCTCTTCTGCCTTTTTGCTTGGGCAGATTCCTTGTCTATGATGCTTAGATTAACTCCAGCCCTTGTTTTGAGGTCTGATCGTTTTTTTGCTGAACTCCCAAAGACAGCTGATATTGTTTTTGTTATAAGGTTTCCAGAATTGTTTGGTTATCTGATTGGATTTATACTAATTTTTGTTTTTCTTAGTAAAGATTTGAAACTGGCCATCCTATCTGTCAGTTGGCCACATTGTTGTGTGCCTATAAGAACTTTTCTTAGTTTTGTCTATGAGAAACTGGCTTTGGGAGAGATTTCCTCTCTACCCATTCTAGCTTGTTAGGTTTCAGGGTTAGCTGCCAGGGGTTCAACCTTTACTGTTGAGGACTTTAGGTACAATATTTAAGTGCTATTTTTCCCTTTTGAATGACCAGTAGCTAATGAATTCATGGGTTCATTTAATAATAAACTTGCACTATCTCCAGGCATAACTCTGGCTTCTGTTTTCTCTTTCACACATTTATCTTTCTAAAAAGCATAATTTCATCAAGGACAACCTGGAATTGCAGTGGTCATTTTGAAGTACTTTTGATATGACTACAATTATTCACTTGAAAGTACTTTTAAAGACTTAATTAATCCTATAGTCTTGATGGAATTATCAAGTGCCCAAGATACTATTTGAACTGGTTGTAATGACTTCCTTTCTTTCTCATGTATTGAAATGGGTTTGCTTGCATTTAAGGCTTTCCCACTCTTTGCAAAGAGAAGGTGATTTGACTTTTATAGTGGTCAGTAACTCTTTACATATTTGTGGTAATCATCTCACTTTCTTTCTCTGTCTTCTAGAAAACTTAATCTATTAATTGATCAAAACTCAATTCTTGTTATTATGGATACACCCAGATAGTTCAGATACATAGGTCTAACACAAAAAGAGGGAGAAAAGTCAATGAGCTCTCATGAAGAATGTTCCTGTTGCAAATAGCTTTTAACACAACTCTGGGGAAAAAAAGGTTTAACTGATCGTTAAGCTAATTGCCTGGCTTACTAGGTTACAAGATAAGAAGGGAAGAGAAACATTTAGATCTTTTAAACAATTTAAGGAGTCTTTAAGAATTTGGTTTAGAAATACAGAGGTTTACAAATTGTATTAGAAAATAATTAATATAATATTTCCATTAAGATGACTCTGGACAGATTTGATTGGCTTAAAACCTGTCCTGTGAAGTGGCTATGGTAGCATAAGCCTGTAGTCTCAGCTACTTGGGAAGCTGAGGTGGGAGGATCACTTGAGCTTAGGAGTTTAAGGCCAGTCTGGGCAAAATGGCGAGACTCTTTCTTTCTTTTTTGGATTATGAATGAGTTTTCTTTTTCTATTTTTTAAACATTTTTCATTTCAATAGATTTTTGGGGAACAGGTGGTATCTGGTTACATGAATAATTTATTTAGTGGTAATTAGTGAGATTTTGGTGCACCCATCTCCTAAGCAGTCCTGCCCTGCCCTCCCCTCCTTTCCTTGTTTCTTTTCTTTTCTCTCTTTTCTTTTTGCTTCCCCTTCCCCTTTTTCTTTTCCTTCTGTTTCTTTCTTTCTTTTTCTTTCTTTCTTTCTTTTTCTTTTCTTTCTTTCTTTTTCTTTTCTTTCTTTGTCTCACTCTGTTTCCCAGGCTGTAGTACAGTGGAATGGTCATTGCGCACTGTAACCTCTGCCTCAGCCTCCTGAGTAGCAGACACTACAGGGGCATAGCATCATGCCTGGCTTGTATTTTTTGTAGAGACAGGGTTTTGCCATGTTGCCCAGGCTGGTCTCAAACTCCTAGCCTCAAGTGATCTACCCATCTCGGCCTCCCAAAGTGCTGGGATTACAGACATGAATCACCACAGGTTGCATATCTAAATTTTAATATGCACAGTTTGTTGAAATCAACGAATACAGAAATCAGCTATTCCATGTTAGCTATAGTTGATAACTCTATATCCCCAATTTTGAAATAATTTGCTGGTCCTTAACAAGCTCATACAGTAATAAAATACTGGGGCAAGTTTTAGAGTATACATAGACATCTTGTACGGCACTCTTTGGGTTGCCAAGGCAACTGTCCTGCTTACCAATATGTCATATGAGATTCAAGAAGTGGACATATGTGAAACCATATATATCTTTTTTTTTTTTTTGAGATGGAGTCTCTCTCTCTCACCCAGGCTGGAGTGCCGTGGCACGATCTCAGCTCACTGCAACCTCCGCCTCCCGGGTTCAAGCAATTCTTCTGCCTCAGCCTCCCAAGTAGTTGTGACTACAGGCATGTGCCATCACACCCAGCTAATTTTTTTGTATTTTTAGTACAGACAGGGTTTCACCATGTTGGTCAGTCTGGTCTCGAACTCCTGACCTCAAGCGATCCTCCCGCCTTGGCCTCCCAAAGTGCTGGGATTACAGGTGTGAGCAACCATGCCCGGCCTGAAACCATATGTATCAAAGGAAACTAAAACCAATACTTAAGGAAAGTTTGTACTGTGACTGGGTAAATTATGGCCTTGCTACATTAAGTGCAATTTCTTTTGCCCTCTCTGAAAATAGGTAATTTTTTTTTTGCTATTGTTTTCTAGGTATCTGAGAATTTCAAGCCTTCTGGAGAGATAATATGCTTTATTTATCTCTTTTTTTTTTATCACCAATTTCCAGTAAAGTGCCTGGCACAGAGGTACCCAATTATCTGCTGAACAAAACTAAACTATATGATCATAGAGTCATAATAAAAACTAACTTTGAATAAGAGAAAGGGAGGAATGTTGAGCTATATGGAACCAGAGATAATATAATTTAGAAGCATTATTCTCTTGGAAAACTGTGGTATAGTTTAGTATAGCAGGTCTGTTAAAGTAGGGGAATAAGTCATGTAGAATTAGTCAAAGCTTCTTCAAGAGTAATAAGCTCTGTGGGGGCAGGGAACTAAGACTACAAACTCTTCCCTAGATTTCATGATATAATACCATCTCTATTCTCACCCCATTACCTTAGCCTACTTCCAGTAAATAGTTTTAATTGAGTGTAAAAGGTAGCTTAAACAAAACACTAACAATATACTCTGTGGATAATTGAGAGGATGAGTCCAGACCTACAAAAGCATGAGAGAGAAATATAAGCAATATCGCTTAAACAGAGTTTCCTATTAACTAAATAGTTATTATGAGTGTGTTAATTCTTATTTTACTTTATTGTGAGATAGGGTCTCACTCTGTCACCCAGGCTAAAGTGCAGTAGTGCCATCATAGCTCACTGCAGCCTTGAATTCTTGAGCTCAAGTGATCCTCCCACCTCAGCCTCCTCAGTAGCTAGGACTATAGGCATGTGCTACCATGCATAGCTATTTTTAATTTTTTAGTAGAGGCAGGGTCCCGCTATGTTGCCCAGGCTGGTTTTGAACTCCTAGCCTCAATTGATCCCCCTGCTTCAGCCTCCCTAAATGCTGGGATTACAGGAATAAGCCACCATGCCTGGTCCATGAGTGTGCTACTGTTTAGCTTTCTCAAACTCCATGAACTTACTTGTTGCACAAAGCATGTAAGTATATCATAAAAAAGAATAGTTCACTGAGTCAACCAGTTTAACAAAAATTTATTTCTGATGCTATATATAGTGTTATTTGGTTCTAAGGATATTAAAATCATTACTATGTAGATCAAATTGAAAAGAATGTTTTTTGTCAATCAATAGTTTTTGGAAATGACTAGTGCATATATACTGGGAAGTAAGCACATCTGGAATGTTGATTTAGCTATCTATTTGCAAAATAAAACAGTCTATTCTTTTGCTTTAACCAAAAGGACTATAATGTCATAAAAAGACCTCTGAAAATTTTCATTTCCAAGACTTCAAGAAATTAAAAATAATGATGGGTTTATTTTCAGAACAAAGAGATTTTTAAAAAATCCCGCTAATCTTTTCTTTAATAGTAAGGTCAAAGGAATTATTAATACTTTTAAAAATCTCAATAGTTTCTGATTCTTTTATAAGGTTTTGAGTTTCCAGCAGATTCACTTTTTAGTATTCTCCATTTGACCTTGGAGCTTCTGACTGAAGTTTTGCACAACCTAAGCAAAACAAGCAATAGGAAGTTTTTCAAGAGTTCTCAGAAAGAGATGGACTAAATTCTCTTTTCTAAATCAGGAATGAAAAGACATTTTGACCCATTCTAAATATCATGCCACTAGAGATGCTATCTTTAGGGAGAGAGAGAGGAAAAAAAAAACCTGATTATCAAATCCCTCTTAGTGATTAAAGATCAAATGGAACTTTTCACAAGAAGTGCTAGCCATGATGTCCTGATTCATTGATACTTCCCACACAGAAGTAGCTCATCATTTCAGCAGCAGGATGGGCACAATTCATTGTCTAAACAGAAACAGTACTGAGTTTGTATAGTTTAATATCTATAGCTAGCAGCTAAAGTTTTTTGCTTATGTGTACTGACTTTGTGGAAAGGCCATTGGTTATAATATTTCATTCTAATAGAAGAGAACATTTCATAATACATAATTTTTACTAGTTCTTCTTTGTTCTCATATTCTGAACTTGAAACTATCCTAAAGCCAATTTATTGTTTCCCTGTTATAAGAATGTGGATCCACTGGTATGATCTATAATCTACAACATTCTATTTACAACACAGAACATATGTCAGAAATACCTTTATCTTATGGGCCCTCTCCCCACTCCCTCCATTTTTATTTTTAATACCTCATTCCCTGTTGACATGACTGCAACCACTGGAAACTTATTAACTTCAACCTCTGTGACACCTACAGTTGCCAGAAGACCAATCTCTGAGGGGCCCATGTGGGTTCCTTTGGCCAAAACACATTCCCCTCTTTTAATGTCATGGCCGATGGGTCTGAAAGTCAAAGCAGAACCATAAGCAGTGTGATTAGAGAACAACATTTTCTCAACTCAGAGGGAAACTTTAGTGTCAAAAAAGGACATTCAAGAAGACAAAAAAGTCTAGAAATAAAGTAGTAGGAAAACAATGAATTGAAGGGATTCTAAAAATCCTATGCTTTTTTAATTTTAAAAGTTAAATCACACAACAGAAAACAGAAATAGGATTTGAATGTATTACTGCTAAAGAAAAACATGTTACTTCATATTTGAAATTTTTTTTCATGAGTACCTGTGAATAAAATTACTTTACAAATTGTTTTATGTTACATTATAGTAAAAATACCAATTGTAAACTTTCTTTGATAAGGCAAGAATTTGTATGGCAATATCTAGCGGCATTAATGATAAGAGGTCCACAGCTGGCTAGCTTTGTCAAGGAGAATAATGCTAATGAGGCTACAGTCATAGAGGTAATTTCCATATGGACCACTTAGGTTGGTCCTGATCTGTGGCTACTGAGGTACATTAACCTTGGTGTGCTGCCATAGGGATGGGAGAAGTGTAGCTTCGTTACAAAGGGATGTTCAGCAAATTAGTATTAATGGAATCAGGGTAAACATATTCCATTTTAAGAAAAATAATTTAAGGTATATGCACTATTTATCATAGCAAATAGCCTCATCTTTGTATATAACAAGGAACAGATTATTCCATTATTATTGGTAGTCACTAGAGCATATGCTATTAGTTAATTGTGTAAATACCCAATTCTGGTATTATCTGAGTTGATACCAAATTCCAGATTATTTAGGGATGGGATTGGGTAATTCTGGATTATCTAGAAGTAGAATTAACTGTAGAATATGTAGGCTCATGACTTTACCTCTTTCTCATCTTGCTTTTGACTAACTCGCCTTTACCATCTTCATTAAAAAGTAGGCAGGGCAGATATGTGATACAGAATTCATAACATTCATTTTGCTTTTTGTTAAAGCCCTGAAAATTAATGGCTAACTGACATGGCTGCAGATTTATAGTAGCCAGGGTTTCCTGAGTAAATGATCATGTAGAAACAAAAGTAGGCTATATATTCTATGTGTTTTGAAGTTACCTGATATCTTGGCCTGGCCGAGCTTGCACCAGAATTCGCACTTCAAGTTCTTCAGTGCCCTATAATAACAGCCGGTCATGTAATTTCAAACAGAATTTCTGAGCAGTAGAATTTAGTTACTCCGATACTTTTACCATCAGATAGGCCCAGGATATATACAAATATAGACAAAAAGAAAACTATTTGCTACACCCTTTGAAAACACTGAATTTCTAACACAGGTTCCTGAAAAATTAGAAGGTTTGGTGCCAATAAATAAAAAATTTTTTTCTCCAATTTTTATGCTTTTAAAAAATGTACCAATTCAAATATTAAATCTTGTTTATAAGATTTAATATTTGAACTAATACATTATATAGAATTTGTTTATATATTTTTATATACATATGTAGGTGGCTACCCTAATAAAGTGAACGTGTGTGGAGGTAATATCTTCCTTCTTTTCCCATGAATCATGGGTTCAATACCATGCCAAGGTTACCAAATACTTGCAGAAATTTCAGTAAAGGACTTATAGTTTGCCTGGTAGTAGATTTCTGTCCATTAATTGCAGTAATCAATTTTACATTTATGGGCTGTGAATAATATTGTGACATTGGAACTGTGTCTTGTCATCTGGCAGAGTCTGTGGATGTATGTGTTCTGGAATTCAGTGCTTTGCTGGCTTCCCTGATGCCAATAAATCTGCTTAGGCAGTTTTAACAGCAGGCAATGTGATCTGTTTGCCAAGGGTTGAATTTTATAAGCCTTACATATGGAAAGGTGATTAAAAAGAAAATCTCCAGATCAGGGAAAGTGTCTGTCTCTTGGCATGGCCAATTTTACTATCTACTCGGCTTGGGAGAATATATGTTTATTTTTCACCTCAGCTTTAAAATATATCTTTACTTTCTTCATAAAACAAGTAAGAGAGCTGATTATTAAAACCTCAGTTGAATCTATTCTACTTTTATTACTGGCTTATACTCTGGTTTCAATAACCTGCCACTATTTTCAGTGAGATAAAGGCTTGCTTAGGTCCAAAAAGATTCCAGCATCTTTTACTTGAGGCAATGGAGGGAGAACTGACATACACTTAATATTTCCAGGCTGTCATTTGGTGGCACAGCTTTTTCCAGACTTACAGAAAACCAGAGGTGAAAGGGTCATTTGGTTCAAATGCTTGGCTTAGTGTAATATTCAAGAACTTGCCCAAGTGCTCTTTGTTAAATTCTTCTCTAGTAAATTCTGATTTCATGAACTCCTTGACATTTTATCAGAAGCTAGTCTCAATGGCAAATTTCTCAGCTGGAAGGTATGTCAACCATTAATATCTCTGCTCTGGAAGGTATGTCAACCATTAATATCTCTGCATTTCTTTCTTGAGGTACTTTCTTTCGTTGTTTGCATGTGAAACTGCTTGGGTCAAATATGATTCAAATTCTGCTATAACAGCAATGATCATAGAAACCCCTCCTGTAACAACAGATTTTCAAGATTAAGGAAATTTCTTATTTACTGGAGACTCATATACTACAATATAAGATCCCACCATAAGCAAAAACAAAACAAAACTAAACAACCCAAAAAACTGGGTTAATCTCACAAACACTGCAGAAAATGGTTGTGACATAATACTGCCATAGGAACAACAGCACAGTAAGACTTGGTGATGACGTACATCATCTGATTCCCTGATAAGTTCGGTATCTTCCACTTGTACTACTGCATCAGCACCGCAGGGTATTGGAGCACCTGTTGTAACCCGCATGACTTGTCCTGGCATTACTGTCTGAGTTGGCTGGAAATAAAGATGAAAAAGACAGTTGATGTACTTTGCTGCTGCAAAGGAAAAGTCTGCAGAGGATGTTAATTTTTTTAATATTAAAAAATAAACCATAAAAGAAAGTCTTACAGTCTTATTCATTTTGGGCCAGTGTAATAAAAGCTATCCACAAACAGGTGCACTCACACTAAAGGGGCTTTAGGTTCATTTAAGCTGATTTTATGTGTACTTTAAGGTAATGACTATTCGGTGTCTTGGTGCTCTGCTTTACTTTTGAAGAACTGCCATTTACATTTGCCACTTTTGCCTCTCAAATAATGTACATTTTCCTAATATATGTAAAGTGATTTGAGAGTCTGTAAGTAAAAAAATTGCTAGGACATACATTGTGAATAACAATTACAAAAAAAAATCTTCATAACTTATTGAAGTTCTAATGTTTGAGAAATGCAGTACTTTATTAACTAAACTTTTTGGTTAAATAAAGGCAAGCCAGAAATATTTTAATTATTGCCTTTGAAAATATTCTAAAACACATTAGCTCACCTATCAATTAATAATAGAGGTTGAGCAAATATAATTAAATCATTTAAAAATGATTCCAGTGTCTGTAATGACCTAGGTTAAACATTACTTTTGAAAATGAAAAACAAGATTTTCATTGTTTGTGCTCTCATATTGATGGTATAAGAGACAGAACCTTCCCTGCTAACTTCTTACAACATGAGGAAAAGCATTTTTCTGTAAGATTCATCTGATAGATTTGATCTGATAGAGAAGTGATCTGAAAGTCACTTGTCAGGGGCAATGATTTAGACTGGAGTTTGGAAAATGAATGCTTCAAATTCTCCCTAAGAAAAAATCCTGAGACAATATTAATCCCCCCTGCCAAAAGATTCCTTTCTAAAGATGTCTGCCTCATAAGTATAGTCACGTGCTGCATAAGGATAGTTTGCTCAATGTTGGACTGCATATATGATGGTGGTCCTATAAGATTACCATATTTTCTACTGTACTTTTTGTTTTGATAAACAAATACCATTATAATTGCTTACGTATTCAGTAATACTGTAATATGCTGTGCAGGTTTGTAGCCTCGGAGCTACAGGTCACACCATGTAGGCTAGGTGTGTAGTGGGCTACTCATGCAGGTTTGTGTAAGTACACTCTATGATGGTCGGACAACAAGAAAATTGCCCAACAACATATTTCTCAGAATATATCTTCATTAAGTAACTCATGACTCTATTTAAAATCTTAAGTCCCTACAATGTGAATATATTTACCACTACTGAACTATAAGCTTAAAAACTGTCAAGATGGTATATTTAATGTTATGTGTGTGTATGTTTTGTCATTGTTGTTATTTTAACCACCAAAATAAGACAAAGTAAAATAAACCACACACACACACACACACACACACACACACACACACACACCCCTTAGGGAATGGTTAAGAAAAAAAAATACCTTACTACTGAAAGTACAATCAAAGTAAAACAGGAAATTTATTACAAAAGTCTTAAAAATCTTCTCTCCATAATATTATTACTGTAAGCAATACTACCAATAACTAATATTTATTGAACCCACAATCTATGCTAGGTACAATGTTAAGTGCATTATATATTACAGAATATAAGCCTTACAAAGACAAAGATTTGTTTCATTTTCTGTTTGCCTCTCCAGATCACATCATCATTCTCTACTCTGTGCTGTGGTCCAGAAGCTGACCTCTATGGACTATTTTAACCAGTTTCCCACCACTTTGGCGTCTGGTGAGACTCAGCCAAAGGGAGGGGTCAGTAAGAGATGTAGAGGGTAGGAGAGAGACAGAAAAGTAGAGTTTTCATTCCCCTTGCTCTTTTCCTCCTGGGCTGCAGTTTGGTGATGGTTAGGGCATCTCTCCTACTGAGAGCAAGAGCTGCTGTTGGGCAGTCCTCTCCCACAGATATGAATCTTCCCAGGTTCAGGTACCATTGTCTTTCTTTGCTCCTTCAGACTAAGATGTGGTAAGGAAATCTCACTGTTGCTAGCTCCTGGGTGCTGCAGATTCCTTTATTGGTTTCCCTTAACTCCATCCAGACATTGGAGATAGTTTCTAATCTTCTTTAATCATCCTTTTTCCAGACATATTGCTCTGTTATGGCAAGGCTTAGAAAGTATGTTGCACACACTTTGCCAAGCTGAGCACCTACGCATCCCAGGCTGAGCTGATGTAGTCACTCATGTCCTAGGGAAACAGAGTGCTGATTGAGCCAAGATATCCTGACCTACAGGCCAAATAACTCTAGTACCCTGCTTCTCTGGAGCTAGACTATAGCCCCTTAGAGTCTGAGCTGCTGAGATACCCCCCTCTCTGGGGAGTTGAGTCATTTCTGTGTTGATCCTTGGCCCCCCCGGGGATCAAACCACAGCTGCGCTCTGCCATTCTAAGGTATCTGCTGCTTCTGCACCTGGCCTCAGAGTCTGAAGTGAGGACCTGCGTAGCCCCACCATCCAGGGGTCTAGGGTCACTACTACACAGTACCTTATCCACTGTGACCCGAGCTGCTGCTGAGCCCTACTGGCTCTGGTTCCTGAGCTGCGGCCATACCCTGCTCCCCTGGCCAAAACCTTTTTCTTTGGAGTTTGGTCAGTACTACACCCTACCCATGAGGTATAAAATCACAGGTACAACCAGGGCACCTGGGTCCAAGCTGCTAGGGGGTGCCTCAGTCATAAACCTTGGTTCTTTGGATAACCTACACCCAACTCTGCCACAGAGAGTGAACCTGAACCCCAAGAACCAGGTGCCACAATGGATTCACAAGACCCTGAGCCTTGGATCCTGGCTCCACAGTCACTCCAAGCACCATATTTTGAGCCCAGTGCCACTGTAGCTGCTTGGAGGGCATGTCAGACCTAACACCAAGAGGGATCCCTTCAGCTGATTCTCCCTATTGTGTGGAAAACAAGAAGAGGAGGACTCTAAAAGCCCTTGACACCAAGGATATTAACAGCCTATGCCACTACTACCACTGACACAAACTTCTATGGATTAGGCCACTGAGGTACTCACAGTTATTACTGACATTGAATGCAACTGAAAAAGCTGCAAGGAGACTACACCATTGCACCTGTCCAGAAAGTCACCATACCCTTTGCAACCAACACACTAAAGCCCAACTACAGGCGTCTCTACAAAACCACCCAGAAAGTCTGAAAGAAGCAAAAGTTCCACTAGGCACACAGATCAACATGGGGACACAAGAAACACAAAAAAGCAAGGAAATATGACACCACTAAAGGAATACATCTCTAGTAACAGACTCCAATGAAAAGGAAATCAATGAACTCCTGGAAAAGAAATTGCAAAATAATGATCTTAAGGAAACTCAATTAGATAAAACAAAAACAAAAACAAAAACAAAACCTAGCGATAATTCAACAAAATCAGCAAAACAATTCATAAGAATGATAAATTCAACAAAGATAGAGAAATCATAAAAAAGAACCAAACAGAAATCCTACAGCTGAATAATTCAAAAAATGAAATAAAAAATTACAATAGAGAGCTTCAATAGCAGTCTTGATAAAGCAGAAGAAAGAATCTTTGAACTGGAAGATAGGTTGTTTGAAATACCCAGCAAGAGAGAGAGACAGAGAGAAACAGAAGAATGAAAAAGAGTGAAGAAAGCTTGTAAGACTTATGGGACACCATACAAGAACAAATATTCATATTATTGGAGTTTCAGAAAAAAAGAAAGGAAAAGGCATAAGAAACTTATTTAATAAAATAATAGCTGAAAACTTCCCAAGTCTGGGGAAAGGTATGGATATCCAGGTCCAGGAATTCCAAAGGTCTCCAAATCAAGTCATATATAATGAAATCCACATTAGACTAACAGTAGATTTCTCTGCAGAAACCTTACAGGACAGGAAGAAAGGAGATAACATCTTCAAAGTGCTGAAATAAAAAAATTTCTAACTATGAATACTATATGCAGCAAAGCTATCCTTTGGAAATGAGGGAGAAATAGTCTTTCCCAGACAAGCAAAAATGGAGAGAATTCATTACTACTACACTGGCCTTACCATAAATTCTCAAGGGAGTCATATATCTGGAAGCAAAAAAGACAATAATCACTATCATAAAAACACACACAAGCATAAAACTCACTGGTAGACCAGATTAATAAAGGAGAAAGAGAAAAGAATAAAACAGTATCAATGTAGAAAACCACCCAACTGCAATGATAAACAATAAGAGAAGGAGCAAGGGGTAAGCAAAACCAGGAAACAATGAAATGACAGGAGTCCTCATCTATCAGTAATAACCTTAAATGTAAATAGATTAAATTCCGTAGTTAAAAGATACAGACAAGCTGAATGGATTTAAAAAAAAAGAACCCAACTATTTGCTGCCTACATGAGACTCACTTCACCTATACAGATATAGACTGAAAGTGAAGAAATGAATCAAGATATTTGATGCAAATGGAAACCAAAATCAGGTAAAAGTAGCCACATTTATACCAGATAAAATAGACTTTAAGTCAGAAACTGTAAAAAGAAATATGAGAGGTCATTCTATAATTATAAAGGGATCAATTTATCACAAGGATACAATAATCGCAAACATATATGCATTGAACATGGGATCACCCACTATAAAGCAGGTATTATTTATCTAAAAGGAGAGACAGATTCCAATACAATAATATTTGGGGAGTTTGACACCCTACTCTCAGCATTGGACAAGTCATATAGATAGAAAATCAACATAGGAACGCTGGATTTAAACTGCATTTTAGATCAAATGGACCTAACAGATATTTAAAGTACATTTCATCCAAGAGCTATAAAATACACATTTTTTTTTCACTTGCACATGGAACATTCTCCAGATAGACCATATTAGGCCACAAAAGAAGTCTCAACAAATTTAAAAGAACTAAAATTATATCGAATTTTTTTCCAACCACAATGGACTGAAACTATAAATCAATACAAGAGGAACATTCAAAATTGTACAAACATGTAGAAATTACAAAATATGCTCCCGAGCAACCAATGGATCAATAAATATATTAAGAGATAAATAGATTTCCCAAAACAAATGAAAATAGAAACACAGCAGACAAAAACCTATGGGATACAGCAAAAACAGCATTAAGAGGGAAGTTTATAGCAATAAACACCTACATCAAAACAGTAGAAAGATTTCAATGAAACAACATAGTGATATATCTCAAGGGATTAGAAAAGCAAGAACAAACCAGATCCAAAATCAGAAGAAGGAAAGAAAGAATACAGATAAGAGAAACAAATGAAATTGAGACTAAAAAACCACAAAAGATGAATGAAATTAAAGTTGACTTTATGCAAATATAAACAAAATTGACAAAGCATTAGCTAGACTAATAAAAAAAGACCCAAATAAGCAAAATCAGAAATGGAAAAGGAGGCATTACAACTGATACTACAGAAATACAAAGGGTCATTAGAGACTACTATGAAGAACTACATGCCAAAAAATTAGAAAACCTAGCAGAAGTGAGTAAATTCCTCAATACATACAATCTACCAAGCTTGAGCCAAAAAGAATAGAAAACCTGAACAGATCAATCATGAGTAATGAGACTGAATCTGTAATAAAGTCTCCCACTGAAGAAAAGCCCAAGATCTGATGACTTCACTGCTTAATCCTACCAAACATTTAAAGAAGAACTCATACTAATTCTTCTCAAACTCTTCTGGAAAACTGAAGAGGAAGGAATTCTTCCAAACTCAATCTATGAGGTCAGCATTATTCTGCTACTCAAACCATAAAAGGATACAACACAAAAAAGGAAAACTATAGGCCAATATCCTTGGTGCAAAAATGCTTAATAAAACACTTGCAACTGAATCCAGCAGCACGTTAAAAAGATCATTTACCATGATCAAGTGGGATTTACTGTGGGGATGCAAGGGTGGCTCAACATATGCCCATCAATAAATGTGATACATCACACCAACAGAATGAAGGACAAAAACCATATGATCATCTCAACAGACTTAGGAAAACATCTGATAAAATTCAACAATCCTTCATGGTTAAAACTCTCAACAACTTAGGTATAGAAAGAATGAGTGTACACAGTGAAGGCCCTAGATGACAAACCCACAGCCAACATCATACTGAATGTGGAAGAGTTGAAAGCTTTTCCTCTGAGATCTGGACCAAGACAAGGATGCCCACTTTCAACACTTTTATTCAACCTAGTACTGGAAGTCCCAGCCAGAACAATTAGGCAAGAGAAAGAAATAAAGGGTATCCAAAGGGGAAAAGAGGAAGTCAGATTGTCCCTGTTTGCAGATAACATGATCTTATATATAGAAAACCCTAAAAGCTCCACCAAAAACTCTTACAACTGATAAATATAGTACAGCTGCAGGATACATAATCAACACACAAAAATGAATAGCATTTCTACACACCAAGAACAAACTAGCAGAGAAAGAAAATGAGAAAGCAATCCCATGTATAATAACTACAAAAAAAATTTAGGAATAAATTTAGCCAAAGAGGTAAAAAATCTGTATAAGGAAAACTATAAAATACTGATGAAAAAGACTGAAGAGGCCACAAAAAAAAAAAAAAAAAAAAAAAAAAGAGAAAGAAACAGCATCCCATGTCGTTGGGTTGGAAGAATTAATACTGTGAAAATGACCATACTACGAAAAAAGCGATCTACAGATTCATTGCAATTCCTATAAAAATACCAATGACAATCTTCACAGAAATAGAAAATCCTACAATTTGTATGAAACCACAAGAGACTCCAAATAGCCAAAGCTATCCTGAATAAAAAGAAGAAAACTGGAGGCTTCCCACTGTCAGAAATCAAAATATACTACAAAGCTATAGTAACTGAAATAGCATGGTTTGGACAGCAAAACAGATACATTGACCAATGGATCAGAATAGAGAACCCAGCGTGGTTGGAGCCCCCACACAGAGTCCATACTGGGGTGAAGGTTGCAGTGAGCTGAGATCATGCTGGGCAACAGAGCAAGACTCTGTCTCAAGAAAAAACCCAGAAACCCAAAACCAAGAACAACCTCCCTCCCCTCAAAAAAACCCAAACAAACAAACAAACAAGACAAGTCATTTATAAAAAAGAATCAAGCCTAGCTGTTCTTTTTGTCAGAAAAATGGTCATGGTAATGAAATCCAGCTTGGTGCAGTATGGATGAGAATATGTATCACTATAGTGCCAACTTAGCTTCAGAGAGTTGCATGCGAATCTCCTCAATTTTTGGATGCTAAAATGAAGAAGCTAGTGTCAACACCATTGGCATCATCCTTCTCCTATATATCTCAACTCGTTTCTAGTGTTAGTCCATGCTAAGCCAAGGAAGAAAGGCATGGAACATAGCGTTTGCCAAACTGCTGCCTTCATTTTAAAAATTATTATTTATTTATTTCTTGCCACTTTTATTTATTTTTATTTTTATTTTTTTGAGACGGAGTTTTGCTCTTGTTGCCCAGGCTGGAGTGCAGTGGTGAGATTTCGGCTCACTGCAACCTCTGCCTCCCAGGTTCAAGCGATTCTCCTGCCTCAGCCTCCAGAGTAGCTGGGATTACAGCCATGTGCCACCACGCCTGGCTCATTTTGTATTTTCAGTAGAGATGGGCTTTCTCCATGTTGGTTACACTGGTCTTAAACTCCCGAACTCAGGTTATCTGCCCGCCGCGGCCTCCCAAAGTGCTGGGATTACAGGCATGAGCCACCACGCCCGCTGCCACTTTTATTTTTATATATTGCTTGGTAGTAGCAGTTGGGTATTCCATCTCAGGAAGAGGAAACTTTGAAGGGAAGCAGCAGGGAAAGGAAAAAAGTTCTTTGGTTTCCTTCTAGTTCCATTTAATAAGGTAGGAGCTCTGTTGATCAACCTTCGTAACTCACCGGATTGACAGATGCTATTTCCTCTTAAACATAACAATGGCCAGGCCGGGCGCGGTGGCTCACGCTTGTAATCCCAGCACTTTGGAAGGCCGAGGCGGGCGGATCACGAGGTCAGGAGATCGAGACCATCCTGGCTAACATGGTGAAATCCCCTCTCTACTAAAAATACAAAAAAATTAGGCGGGCGTGGTGGCGGGTGCCTGTAGTCCCAGCTGCTGGGGAGGCTGAGGCAGGAGAATGGCGTGAGCCCGGGAGGCGGAGCTTGCAGTGAGCCGAGATCGCGCCACTGCACTCCAGCCTGGGCAACAGAGCAAGACTACGTTTCAAAAATAAATAAATAAATAAATAAATAAATAAATAAATAATACATAAACCAATGATATATGTTATTTTTTTCCTATAAAAATTAAGTAAAACCTTTTGGAAACCTCCATTAAAAATGCTGCTAAAAAGAAATGCTGTAAAATTAGGTGTGAGTGAGGAAACTAAAAGAGTGTAAAATATAATAAAACCCTAAAAGGATTCTGCTCTTCTATGTATTGCAAGTATCCTTCAGTTTTTTTCTACTTTGAAGAAATCAAAATGGAAATCAGAGACATTGCCTTTTGTGTGGTTTACGTAAGAAAGACCTGATAGAAATTAAAACAGCATACTTATTTAAAAGGAAGACCTTGGTTCTTCATCAAATTATTGACTAATAAATATTTAAGTTAAATTTATATTTATTTTAAATATATAAAATAATTTCCCACTTTAACTGATTTTTCAATTAAGTGGCCAATTACTGGTCTCAAAGTGTCAAATGGACTTGTATTTCCAATGTGGCCTATTATTGCTTCATTTCTTAATAAAAATATATGTAAACCTGTTCCCTGGCTAGATCCCAAGTGAGAAAAATTAAATTAAATAATTAGCTAAAAAGTTTAAATAATCTACTTCTAAGTTTCCCCATTTGTAACACAAGTTGGGGAAAAGTCTGAGAAGACTACCTAGAAATTGTTCTATTCAGAACATTTTTTTTTTCAGGAAAAAAAGAATCACCCAATCACAGGTCTGGAAAATGCTTGTAAGGCATGTCTGTGAGACATACTAATAATACTATGACATATATTAATAGATGTAGATACTTTCAATTAAGAAATAATTCTTTTGGTTCTCCTGGGAACTATACTTTCATCCCTTTGATAATCTTCTGACTAATCTCTCTCTAATTTCCACTAAACTGATAGGAGAAATTTAGAATTAGATGCCCAAAGTCCATGAAGCTGAAATCTTCAGTGCCTTTCAGGCCTATCAATCTCACCTGTTCACCAGCTTGGGATTCCCCAATGATGAAACGATCTCCTGGGCCATCAGCAGCTGTGAGATGGAACAGAGCCAAGAACAAACATCAGTATGGACCTACAGCATGGAACAAGAACCTAAAATTGGAATTCTAAAATTTGACTCAAATTATTTGATAAGGCTTAGAGAAGTGGAATATTTTTCTGATCTCCTAGACTTGACAATGGCTTTGTTACGACTGATTTAATGTTTGGTATCCGCAACTCACATGCACTGATAGAAGTGGTCCTAATTGTACCACTGGTGCCTAATTGTGCCATGGTGTCACTGGAGGTGGTCTTCCTGTCACCTCGTAATTTCCACACTTGTGCTTTTCTAATAAGTTATTCTAGCCAATCTTCCTAAATAAATGCCACCTTATCCATGTGTATGTATGTGTGATGTGTGTGTGTACACTCATGGACATATATATATATATAAATGGATTTATCACTATTTGTATACATATCCATATGTCTCCATTTTTCTATAACATTTTAACAACTTCATACTGTTTTCTTATTTGTCTCCCAGTCTGGGCTTCCTGATGTGAAATAGGAAGAACATTCCTTTCTTCATTTGACAGCTGAAGGAAATGAATTATAGAATGAAAGAATTCAGGTGGAAAGAAAAGGTAAAGTACTCTGAACAATTTCTGGTTAATGGTAGAGCTAGGACTAAAATCCAGTCTTGTAATTGTAGCACAGTTTTTTAAAATAATGTATCAAAATTCTATTTATGAGTTAGAATACATAGGCAGTACTGCATCACATTTTCCATTGGCTATTTATTTTTAAATTGAAAAAAAAAATTCCATAATTGGGATAAAAAATTTATTAAAAAATATGTACAGTATAACAATGGCTAGATGAAGAAACATTCTTGGAGATTCAAAGAGTTTTCTTGACATATGATGTGGCTTTCAGACCAATACGACTGGGCAAAAGTGCCTATCTAGTAAGTTTTAAAATCATGACCATTACCTTCATGTTATCTGCAAACAGCAGAGTTTTGGGAGCATATCTACAAAAAATATATACATTATATATGAATATTTAGATTACATTTATAATCATACTAATAATGATATTTTCTCTTTTTAAAAGGACATTAGATTAATTGCTCGTTTATGTAGCTATAAAGTGTTATTTTTTTCTAAAGGCTTATATAAAACACCGTTTATAATGAAGTCATCCCTTTTTTGCATAAATGGCTTTGGTTAGCCTGATGTGAAGAGGGACAAAAATTAACACTGGGTCCCTTCTGTCACAGGATGTTGTATTTTATGCTTTACAGATATTATCTCAGTTAATAAACTCTTGCCTTTCTTGTGTTTTTTTTTTTGAATCCTGTTACATTGTTCAGTTTTTACTTGTAAAAAGTATTATAGAAGAGTTTTATTGTAATGTTATTTTATTAAGCCATTTTCATGGGTTATTTTTTTTTTAAAGTTTAAGAAGTTTTTACAACAGGCTGGGTGTGGTGGCTCACACCTGTCATCCCAGCACTTTGGGAGGCCCGGGCGGGCAGATACCTGAGGTCGGGAGTTCAAGACCAGCCTGACCAACATGGAGAAACCTCGTCTCTACTAAAAATACAAAATAAAATACAAAAATTAGCCGGGCATGGTGGCACATGCCTGTAATCCCGGCTACTCGGGAGGCTGAGGCAGGAGAATTGCTTGAACCTGCGAGGCGGGGGTTGTGGTGAGCTGAGATCGTGCCATTGCACTCCAGCCTGGGCAACAAGAGTGAAACTCCGTCTCAAAAAAAAAAAAAAAAGTTTTTACAACAGACATAGACGTCATTGCTTCAACAATTATCAACATTTTACCAATCTTGTTTCATCTATCCCCCCACTTATTTTTGCCATCTTTCAGAGCAAATGATAATTTTCTTACTGTAGAAAATTAAAACATCAATTATCTTTCAGAGTTCCACACCAACTGCATCTCAAACGTGAATAAACTTATTTAAAATTGTTTCTCTACTAGATAAATAATTATCAGCTTGCTACCTCCTATAGCAACCTAGGTATTTTCTCTCTCTCTTTTTCTTTTTTTTTTTTTTGAGATGGAGTTTCGCTCTTGCTGCTCAGGCTGGAGTGCAATGGCACAATCTCAGCTCACTGCAACCTCTGCCTCCCGCGTTCAAGCCATTCTCCTGTCTCAGCCTCCTGAGTAGCTGGGATTACAGGCGTATGCCACCATGCCCGGCTAATTTTTGTATTTTATTTTATTTTTTTAGTAGAGACGGGGTTTCATCATATTGGTCAGGCTGGTGTCAAACTCCTGACCTCAGGTGATCCGCCTGCCTCGGCCTCCCAAAATGCTGGGGTTACAGGCATAAGCCACCGCGCCTGACCCATTTTCTTTTTTTTTACTTCCTGCACAAGGGGGAAATTAGCATTGTTTTAGAGTAAAAAAACCTGAATCTGAATCCTGGTTCTGTTTATTGTTAGCTTCAGGGACTCTCAGCAAAATTACTAAACCTCTCTCACCTTCAGTTTTCTTGTTGGTAAAAATGGGGATAATCACACTTTTAAAACAATACCTTTGAAGCTCTTTATTCCTTTTATTCATTCAGTAAATGTCTACTGAGTGTCTTTTATGCCCCAAGTGTTAAACTAAGGGCTGGAGAGAGAGTAGGGGGTAAACCTAGACGCTGCTTCTATTTTAGTGCAGTGCCAACCTGTTACAAGGTTTGTCTTTTTTTTTTCCAGGTTAGGTTTATCTTTTTTTTTATTATTATTATACTTTAAGTTTTAGGGTACATGTGCACAACGTGCAGGTTTGTTACATATGTATACATGTGCCATGATGGTGTGTGTTACAAGGTTTTTCAAACTCTGGATGACAAATGGAGATAGGCTGTAAAATCAACTTGTGAACAATTTTCTAATGAAAAGGATAAAAATATATTTCAACACACATGGTAAGGATGACTCTTGTTTCATAAAACTTATTTTTGTTTATATACGTGTATGTATGTATATTTATATGTACTGTATATGTTATATATGTGTGTGTATATCATTGGCTTTTGATGTATAATATATTTAATGTATTTCTTCCCATGGGTGTGGTTAAAATAAAACTCTTAAAGCCACTGATGCATCAGGAGAGGCAGATATTAATCAAATAATCACATTAATGAATATATAAATACAAATTAAGAAAACCACTCCAAAGCAAAGAAACATGATTTTATGAGAGTATATAATTAAAGTACCTGAGCTACACTGGAGAGTCATGAAAAGCATGATAAAAGGATTTCTGATTTGAATATGAAGAATGAGTAAGAGCTAAGTAGGGGTGTGTGTGTGCAGGTATGTAGGTGGGGAGAGACAAAGGGAGGGAAATAGGGAGGGAAAGAAGGAGAGGGAGAGAGAGGAAAAGATAGACATGAAGTGGAAGTGCTCCATCATTGTGTGCAAAGAGAACATATGTGCAAAGGCCTTGGTTCATGTCTTCCTTATATCTTATACTCTAGCTATTATCAACTGCTAGTACTATCCCTGAGAATACCAAGATAACTCATATGTTGGCTCCGTGACATGTGCTACTTCCACTACTTAAAGCGTCCTTTTCTTATTCTTGCCTTCTGATTAAAGATTTTTTAGCTGTTAAGACTCAGCTCAAGTGTCATCTTCTCTGTGAAGTCATATCTGACTCCTCTCCCCTCAAGAGTTGCGTGCATCCTCTTTTGTTTCCCCAGTGTAGCCTGAAATCAATTATGGCTTCTAAATATATTTACAGTATTTGCTAATCCCTGGCACTTGCTGTACAATAGGTGTTAAATAAATGTTCAATATGTTAAGTATTCAAAAATGGTTGGCAGACGAATGAATGTGGCTACAAAAACGTTCTTAGAAGATTCATGCACGAATGACCAAATAAGTAATATTTTCTAACACAAAGTTTTATATTTGTTATATATACTTTTTGCTGATCCATATATATTGTTTCCTTCAAAATTTGAGTCAACATCTTAAGAATGTTTAGAAAGACTGCTTTGGCTGGGCAAATCACTTCAGCTCAGGAGTTTGAGACAAAGCTGGGCAACATGGCAAAACCCCACCTCTACAAAAATACAAAAAATAGCCAGGTGTGGTGGTGTGTGCCTGTAGTCTAGCTACTTGGGAGGCTGAGGCACAAAGATGGCTTGAGAACCGGGTGGGGGGTGGGGAGTGGAGGTTTTAGTGAGCTGGGATTGTACCACTACACTCCAGCCAGAGCAACATAGCGAGATCCTGTCTCAAAAAAAAAAAAAAAAAGACTGCTTTGATTAATTCTGTATAACTTAGATTATGTCATTATTCTGTCTAGCATAGTGCCTAAGTCATCGCTGATAATAAATATTTGTTAAAAGAATAAAGAAATGAAGTTGGCATTCTCAAAAAGTTTTTGGTGGGAAGTATTTCTCTTTTCTCCTGTTCCCCCACACATGCACATAAACTCAAAATGCTCATATCAATATTCTGCATAATCCTCTAAATAAACTGAATAATGAGTAGCTGGAGGTCATCTGGGGAGGTCATCTGGGGCAAGCCTAGTATGGAGTTCCAGGGAGGTCCATATGTGAAAGTACTCTGAAGCGATTCTAAGGAGCAAGGTCTTTGTTATCAGGGAAAGTATACCAATTGTGGAGAGAATATGTGCTCACTTGCACTATGTTCTCAACCTTACTCTGAACCTTTCCAGTTGGTAAATGTGTCTCTATATTGCTAGCTAAGGAAGAATCAGTCAAACAACTACATAGAAGTTTCTTGGTACCAAGAGAGGAGTCATTTTTCTTATTTCTCTTATTTCTCAACAGTTAATGTGCATGCAAATCATCTCGAGATCTTGTGAATATACAGATTCTAATTTAGTAGGGCTGGGACAAGGTCTGAGATTCTAAATTCTTTTTTTTTTTTTTTTTTTTGCCTTTTTCTTTTCTTTTTTTTTGTTTTTTTATTATTATTATACTTTAAGTTTTAGGGTACATGTGCACAATGTGCCGGTTAGTTACATATGTATACATGTGCCATGCTGGTGTGCTGCACCCATTAACTTGTCATTTAGCATTAGGTATATCTCCTAATGCTATCCCTCCCTGCTCCCCCCACCCCACAACAGTCCCCAGAGTGTGATGTTCCCCTTCCTGTGTCCATGGGTTCTCACTGTTCAATTCCCATCTATGAGTGAGAACATGCGGTGTTTGGTTTTTTGTCCTTGCGATAGTTTACTGAGAATGATGATTTCCAATTTCATCCATGTCCCTACAAAGGACATGAACTCATCGTTTTTTATGGCTGCATAGTATTCCATGGTGTATATGTGCCACATTTTCTTAATCCAGTCTATCATTGTTGGACATTTGGCTTGGTTCCAAGTCTTTGCTATTGTGAATAGTGCCACAATAAACATACGTGTGCATGTGTCTTTATAGCAGCATGATTTATAGTCCTTTGGGTATATACCCAGTAATGGGATGGCTGGGCCAAATGGTATTTCTAGTTCTAGATCCCTGAGGAATCGCCACACTGACTTCCACAGTGGTTGAACTAGTTTACAGTCCCACCAACAGTGAGATTCTAAATTCTAACAAGCTGATGCTGAGGCTGCTGGTCCATGGATTACCCTTTTTGAGGAGCAGAGCACTATAAGATCAAACTGAATATAGACAAATTCAGACTAAGAGAAAATTTAAGGAATAAAAAAATTAGTGAACTACAGGAGTCCAAATTTTACATTAACACCAAGGTTTGTCTTATGAAGACAGAAAAATAAGTATCAATCTATCTAACTTCCTGATACAGTCATGAGTCACTTAACAATGGGGATATATTCTGAGAAATGCATTGTTAGGCAATTTTGTTGTGTGAACATCATCACAGAGTGTACTAACACAAACCTAGATGGTATAGCCTATTATACAACTAGGCTACATGGTATAGCCTATTGCTCTTGGGTTACAAACTTGTACAGCATGTTACAATACTAAATACTATAGGCAACTGTAACACAATGTTAAGTATTTGTGTATCTAAACATATCTAACCATAGGAAAGGTAATGTGTTGCACTATGTGACCTTACAATGGCTACAATCTCACTTGGCAATAGGAATTTTTCAGCTCCATTGTAATCTCATGGGACCACCATCATGTAAGAGTCTGTTTTTGACTCAAATGCTAATGTGGTGCATGGCTATATTTATTTAAAAATATCTATGAAAGAAACAGGTTTTAAAAAGTTGCAGTTTTTCAAGATGAATTCTACAAGTTTAGGTAGGAGAGGGCAGAAGCGGAGGCATGATAGCACATGAACCTAGAGCTTGGAAAGAAAAAAAGAAAGTAAACCACAGTACGTCATTAGAAAAGATGAATAGATTTGAAGGACTTCTGCAGATTTAGAATTGTTTCCCTTGTAATTCTGACATATCTGCTAATGAATTTCTTTTCTGCTTTGCAACTGTAGAATTTAATTTGAAAGAAGTGATAAAAGCAATATAAACCAAACCCTAATGGCATATGCATTATGTAAACAATTAATGTTTAATGCAAGACCCTGAAGCTGTTCCTTCTTATTCCTCCTTTTTCTAATATCCAGAAAACACTTTTAGTTCTGTTCACCCATTTATTTGAAGATTTCTGGTTATATTATTTGATATGAAATTGATAACACTAGATAACTACTCATTGTGTACACAGAAAACGATGATCTTCAAATCATCTGCCATGGAATTATCCTTCATTTTCATTTTCCAGCCATAGTGATCTTTCTTTAAGTCTCTTGAAATACTGTATAGCTAGTCATTTATTTTCAATACTAAAGAGTCTCATCATTTCCACTTTAAGGCTGAACAAATTAGAGCACATAGAGATGGCATAACTTTCAGAGGTCCTAGGAAATAGTTGATAGAGAAATAAGGCAGAAGGAATAGTAATTTGTCTGCTCTGCTTATAGAACTACACTGTCTGAGACTGCAAGAAGGGCACAGGGTAATAGTATTTATATGCATACTAAAGTTAAGATTATAGGAGGGGTTGGTAGGGAAAGGTAACAAGAGAAGGTGACAAAGCTGGAATAAGAGGATTCATACTTGCTGCAATTACACTCAAGTATTACATTAGGTAAATTGTTTGGAATTTTAAACTGGCTACCTTTTCCTATGGAACGCAGGGAGGTGGGCATAGGATACATGAGTAAGAAGGCATCGTGTATTCTTTACCATTATCTTCCAGGGAAAATGCCTATTAATTGTTAGTATTGGGAAAGAAGGCATTATTTTCAGAAATATTTTCTTTTTGGAATTAACTAAACTAAATTATTCCAAATTATTTATCTATTCACATGAGTATTACTCCCATATCATAAGGCCCTCTTTTTCACTGAAAGTATCCTATAGTAGAGGGCAAAATAGGCTGTCAAATGAATTGCAGAACCAGTTGTAGCGAAAGAGGATTCAAATGGATACAACAAAAGCCCTGAAATATGATTACTGTTGAAAGAATAAGAACTAGGTCTAAGTCACAATGGCTGTGGATTGTCTATATTGAATTTTGGTGTATTCTAACCCACTGTATGTGAGGTAAATGCACAAAATGCTAATAGTGGCCAGGGGGTAAGTTAATGGGTAATTTTAAAATGTTCTTTTTCATTATTTTTGCATTTTTCATAAGTAATTTCAATCAGAATGTAAACAAGAAAAAAAAATTTTTAAATTCTCTCTACCCAAATGGCAAAACTTTCTCTTAATATATCTTTTCAGAACTGTATGTTACCTATGACTCTGAAAATAATTCCTGGTTTGTTCAAAATATTCCTTTTTTCCAAATGATCCCAAAATAAGCTCTGAAGGGATAAACCTTTCAAATTGAACTTTTTCAAGAAAGCTGAACTTGGAGTTCTAACATATTTTTGCCCTTATTAATATCCACAAAGAAAGTGTGATAAAATAGTCACCTACATCTATATAGGAGGATGTGAATGCATCAAGAGGATGATTAGCTTCATCAGTGTGAAGGGAGAAACAAAATCGAAAAATGTGAAGAATAAAAATACTGTATTGATTCAAATTGTAAATATGCCACTTTCATTTTTATTTTATCTACTTTTATCTTTCAAATTCACTCCCACGTGAATGCAGTTTTAGGTTTACAGGTCTTCCTATTATTTTATATTATCATTACTTTATTCCTGCCTTCTTTACATTCTATTCTTTCTTAATGTTTTATTTTGAGCTGTTTCTACTTATTTCCTTAGTCATTTTATTACTGTCTTGATTTTTGAACTCACATACCTTAAAGCAAGTGATCCTCCAACTGGTTTGGAGTTTTATCCCACATGTTTCTGAAGGATACTGGCTAATGCTTAGTGATCCAGAGCAAGTTAGCAACATCTTTACACCTAGAGGGTTAGCAATGCCCACGAGTGCCACTGGTTATTACTGGAAGGCCTAAGGTAAAGGCAGAGGAGAAGAAAATAGGGAGAATCAAGGGAGCAGGGAGAAAGGAACCAGAGTAAAGGAAGACAGGGGTAGAGAGAAGGAGGTACTCAAAGGAGGGTCTTAGCCACAATAATTGGCCTCAAGGATATTCTTTACCAAAACACTGCCTGGGGGTGGTATTTATAACAGAAAAGAGGCTAATGAATACATTTACCTTTAAAGAAATGAAAATCATCTTTATTACTAAATACAGTAAAAATCACTTTTAGGATTCATAGAGTTTATCTTCCTGAATTACAGACAAAAAAGTGAGGAGGTATAAACTGGAAAATTCAGCATAGTTCTAAGACCATGCCACTTGTCTACAGAAGACTTTTGCTTCTTTAATTATGATGTTCATATTGTATACACAGACATACTAACCATTCCTACTTTGAGATTTAACCATTTATGCAATGATTATCACTTATGTCGCTCTTATATGTTACATATCTTGGAGAAGTACCAACCCTTTGCAAGAAAGAAACAATGTGAATCAGCTTCACGGTAGATAATCTCTTGGACTGTTTATAATGTGAGATACCATTTTAGATTTTTTTTGGTGAAATAACAAAAAAAAAAACCTCTCAAACAAAAGCATAAATAGGATACTAAATGGTAATTTTACATAAAAATTTTTTGATGAGTTGTACAGTGTCAGAAAAGCTCATAAGGGCTAATGGCTCCCTTTGGCAACAAGAAAAGCTAACAGCAACCATTTTTTTTTTTAATTGAGCTGCTGCTAGCTCATGTAAAAATCACAGAACAATATTCTGTTTGGGAATAATTCTGCCTCAAATAATTTATTTTCTCACTCTCTCCCACATTATGTTACAAAGACTATAAAAAACAGACTTCTTTGTCTCTGGTGTTTCATCTACTGTAGCTGTTTGCTCTACTCTGGAAGTAAGAATTCTTTGTCATTTTATAGTAATCCTGTATGGCTACAAATTGTAAGATCAACACAGAATTTACTTTTTAGATGGGCAATAAGAAACTATTTCAAGCCAACAATGACATTGGGAAAAAAAAAAGAAACTAGAAGAGCCAGTGAAGCTATCACAAGAATAAAATAATTTTCTGTCTGGATAATATTTATTCTAATCAACACTGTAGAAGGAATCAATTTGAAAGAAAAAAACATAGGAGCCATTGGGAATTTGGTATTTAAGTTTTGGCTTTGCCAATTTCAGAAGTATTCTAATCTAGTGAGATCAAGCTGAATGAAGTGAATCCAAGATAATCTTCCTGAGAAAGAATACATTAGTGGAAATGAAAAAACATAAGCTCAATCTCTCTACCATTTTATTTACACAGAAAATGAGAGTAGCAATTCAAATGTTAGCCATTTTTCAGAGATAGTTTAAGAAAATGTATTTATAATATGATAATAATGGTTACTATCATTAAATATTTTAAAAAACAATTATCAAGTGTTTTTTTTTTTAAATGTGTGCCAGGTAGTTTACTAAGGCTTTCTACAACTAATTAATTTCTACAATTAATTTTTAATATAATTCTTACAACAACCTGCTGGGGTAAGTATTGTTGTAATTATCATAATTTTAGAGATAAGAAAACTGAAGCTAAAAAATTTAAGTGAGCTGCTCAAAGTTACACAGATGGAACTGGTACTAAAACCCAGATCACTTGAGCTTTGCTCAATGCCTGTAGCCTTAATCATTTGCTATGCTATCTCCAACATAAAAAGATAACTACTAAGAGATGATGGAATACAGAGGAGATTAATGAAGTATTTAATTACAGGAAAAAGGAAATTACAGGTTGACCATCCTTTATATGAAATGCTTGGGACCAGAAGTATTTTGGATTTTGATGTTTTTCAGATTTTGGAATATCTGCATATACATAATGAGATATCTTGTGGATGGGACCCAAGTCTAAACACAAAATTAATTTATGTTTCATATATATCCTATACACATAGCCAAAAGGTAGGTAATTTTAAACAATGTTTCAAATAATTTTTCTAAACAAAGTTTTGAGTGTGTTTTTATGGTGACCCTTCACATGAGGTCAGGTATCAAATTTTCTTCTTGTGGTGCCATGTCAACACGCAAAAAATTTCAGATTTTGGAGTACTTCAAATTCTGGATTTTTGAATTAGGGATGCCCAACCTGTATTTTCATGGCTAAATGTAGCTAAAAAAACCAAAACCAAAACCAAGTAAGAGACTCCATAACTCCATATCTCATGTACCCCATTAAAAAGGAATTGGCATGCTTAACAGCTCTGATAAACTGAAAAACTTTTTAAACATGTTTCTTCAATGATATCAACCTTGAATTAATAACCAATAACATAATAACAATGTATCATAGTTTGAAAATCACTAAGAGAGTAGATTTTAAGTCTCACTACAAAAATGATAAGTATGTGAGGTAATGCATGTGTTAATTAGCTCAACTAAGCCATTCTACAATGTGTACTACATATTTTAAAATATCATGTTGTACATGGAAAAACAAAAACAAAACCAAAAAAATCAACAACAGTTTCTAAGCAATTCAGAATTTACATTTGGGGTTCTTAGATTGGAATTTAGGCAGAAAAATGCTATTTAGTATTTGCTTTTAAGCTTTATGCAATCTCAGGCAACTTTGTGTGAGCTGCTGGGGCGCCAGAATTTTGAAATATGATGTCTTCTAGAGAATTAGAGGTTTCCCTCATGTCCGCTTTTCATGAAGCCCTTTACTGATGTTTGAGTTGAAAGCAGAACAGACCACCTCAACTTTATCCTTGTGTTGGGAATCTGCTCTTTTTTCTTAGACCATCAGATGTTTTCAACTAGAAAACATCTGGAAAACTTTCACACTAAGAATGTATGCTGTCTGGCATGTGTAGGAACGGAAAGAATAAATTGAAGTACAGTGTTTTAATTTTATTCCTATATATTTATTTGTAGCCAAGAATTTCAGTAACACAAAGGATAAACACTTGATGTGACAGATACCACATTTACCCTGATGTGATTATTATGCATTGTATGCCTGTATCTAAATATCTCATGTACCCCATAAATATGTATACCTACCATGTATCCACAAATATTAAAAATAAAAAATTTAAAACGAGAATTTTCATGTAACTTTTCTTTACCTCAAAAGTTTTAATCAAGATTGTGCCAGAAAATTTACAGGTGCAGATTAACATGGTTATCTGTGAATGAAGTTATTTTGACAGTCATGGGGAAACAAACCTAACAGTTGCTGGGTGCTTGGGCTAAGCCAAAAATTTGAAAAAAAAAAAAAAAAAAAAAAAAAGAAAAAAAGAAAAAAAAATACAGTGCCTGATTATGTTTAAGAAAACCAAAATATTTACCTCGGACAGCATAGCCATCTTTTACTGATGCTGGGAAGGGGGGTAAATTGTCTTTTGCATATACATCTTGAGCAAGGACTCGCCCCATTCCATCTGAAGGAAGAGAAAAGAAGGAAAATGTAAATATGGAGAGCAATGGGTAAGCAGGCAGTCATAAACAAGATGGGCATGAGTGCTTGTCTGACACAGCTTGTAAATGGGCTCAGTCAGAACTCCTGATTTCTGTCCCAAGAAACAGGAGATAGAAGAGATGCATTCTGGTGCCTGAAATAAAAGATTATACTCAGTCAATTCATGGCAATGTTTGCAGAGATTATCTGAATATGAGGTGCTATACAGTAATCAAAGATGTGCTCAGTTGATGTGTCAGTAATCCTTTAACAACCCAAATATGATTTTCTTTAAAAGGAAAGCCAACTTTAAACGTTTTCATACCCATTGACCTAGTAGTTTCACTTCTAGAAATCTATCGTAGGAAAATGGATAAATGTTTCTGTATATGTTTATTTCACAGTTGCTTACAATAGAAAAAATGGAAAGAAACCAAACTATCAACAATATAGGTACTTAAATAAGAAATGATAGATTCTTAAGGTAAAATATTATGGAGGCTAAAGTAATATTTATGAAGAATATTCATTGACATAGGAAAATTCCTATGATACATATTTTTACAACATGCAAAGTCAAATCTGCAGCATATAGTCTTAACTGTATTAAGATATATGTGTATATATCAGTAGAAAAGGAAAGAACATACATGAAAATATAAAGCATTTATTACTTCAGAATGTTAGATTTATGTTTTTTATTCCCTTTGCTCTACTTTTCCCAAAATTTCCACGTTTTCTACAATGAATGCATCATTTTTTAATCCTAAAGTTGTTTTTTTCTTAAGAAGAGAAAGCTTAAAAAAAAAGGAAGGAATATCCCAGTCATTCCATTTGAGTTTTAGCCTTTGATTTTGGCTTCATTAATTGAAATAATTTAGTGCCTATAAGAAGAGCACTAGTAACCTTTTGTGTGAAGTAAGTATTCAGACTACTCTGGATGAAAATCACTTTTGGCTCAGAAATTTGAACTAGTGCCAATAAGAATAAAAGTTTCAGGAGTCATAACCAATTCCTGAAATCCTCTAGTCAGAAACTGTCTTTATTGCTAATTTAAAAAAAGGAAAGCAAAAATAAATGAGGTTAAAAAAAGAGGAAGAGGAAGGAAGAAAAGAAACCAAGACAAGTAATATAGGACTTGATTTACATGAAGTATTTGTATAATTTATAAAATTTCATTGTTTCCGGAGCTGGATAAGTGAGTCTGTGTTTTTTATCTTTGACCTTCTTAGCCACCTAGGGTCTCTGATTTCCAGATCCTAGGACCTAGAAGTAAGTGTAGAGAGATTTTTAAATTTATATTCGGACCATCTGATGTTCAAATTTCTATTCTGAATATCACTATATCCTATAGTGATATTGACTCTTCCCTTTTGGCACCTGAATTGGAAGGGAGAACTTAGCAGATTCTACCTTCAGATACTCCTAGGATGTTGAAGCTATTCTGGAGCTATACTGGAGGTTTGGGCCATACTATGTCAGACAAGCAAAGTGGTGGGACCATAGGGTCTAGTTTGTATTCACATATATAACATTAACTCTCACATGAACCTGAAGCTATATAGTCCCTAGCAGTGGGCCCAGTGGTGCTTGTCCAGGATCACAGTAAACCTCATGGGATGGTTCCTTATCTGGAAGTAGTTTGTCCTGGCACTGGGGGGTGTAGATCAAAATGTAAGCTATACATCAGCTCAGAATCTACATGAATGACTTTGCTGGGATTTTGAATAGTGCACTAATAGTGGTTAATTATCAGAGATAGCACAAGGGCTGAGTTTTTCTGGTGGCTAGCCCCAATGATACAGTAAATGTTTATTAACACTGTATGAATCACATATATAATCTCACTTAATCCCATGAAAATCTAGTAGAGCACTGTTATGTTCATTTTACAGGTGAAGGAAGAGAGTTTTTTTTTTTTTTTTTTTGAGACAGAGTCTTGCTCTGTCGCCCAGGTTGGAGTGCAGTGGTGGGATCTCGGCTCACTGCAAGCTCCGCCTTCTGGGTTCACGCCATTCTCCTGCCTCAGCCTCCCGAGTAGCTGGGACTACAGGCGCCCGCCACCACACCTGGCTAATTTTTTGTATTTTTAGTAGAGATGGGGTTTCACCGTGTTATCCAGGATGGTCTCGATCTCCTGACCTCATGATCCGCCCACCTTGGCCTCCCAAAATGCTGAGATTACAGGCGTGAGCCACGCGCCTGGCCGGAAGAGACGTTTAAATACAGTAAGTACTTACCCACAGCAATATATTTCATAGGTGGCTAAAGTAAGATGGAAAAACTAGATTTTAGAACTTTTTTTTTTTTTTTTTTGAGACAGAGTCTCGCTGTCGCCCAGGCTGGAGTGCAGTGGCGCAATCTCGGCTCACTGCAGGCTCCGCCCCCTGGGGTTCACGCCATTCTCCTGCCTTAGCCTCCCGAGTAGCTGGGACTACAGGCGCCCGCCACCTCGCCCGGCTAATTTTTTGTATTTTTAGTAGAGACGGGGTTTCACCGTGTTAGCCAGGATGGTCTCGATCTCCTGACCTCGTGATCTGCCCGCCTCGGCCTTCCAAAGTGCTGGGATTACAGGCGTGAGCCACCGCGCCCGACCAGAACTTTTCAGCCATACTACCACCATAGTAATAACTACTACCACTCATGTTCCCTCTACCCACTGCTCTTCCTTTATATCTCTCACATTTAAAAAGTTGCAAGTTAAAAAATTAAACATAATTACCATATAAACCAGCAATTCCATTTCCAGGTATACATCCAAAACATTAAAAGCTGGGAATTGAACACGTATCTGTACACCCATATTCACAACATTATCCACAATAATCAATGGTGGAAGCAACTCAAGTATCCATTGACAGATGAATGGATAAGCAAAGTATGGTATATACATACAGAAATATTATTTAGCCTTAAAAAGGAAGGAAATTCTGACTATGCTACAACATGGATGAATCTTGAGGACATTCTGCTAAGTGAAATAAGCTGACCATAAAAAGACAAATATTTTATGATTCCACTTACATGAGGTACATAGAGTAGTCAAATCACAGAGATAGAAAGTAGAATGGTGGTGGCAGGTGCTGGGATGAGGAGGGAAAGAAGAGTTAGTGTTTAATGGGTATAGAGTTTCAGTTTGGGAAGACCAAAAAGTTCTAGACATGGCTGGTGGTGATGGTTACAGAACAATGTGAATGTACTTAATGCTATTGAACCATACACTTAAAAATGGTTAAAATAGTTAAGTTTTATGTTATGTATATGTTATCACTACATACACCATCATCAACAACAAAAAACTACAAATCTGTTTGCCATAAGAATCAACAGTTAGTATAGTCACTTTTACACCCTAAGTTCTTGCCAGTAGCCCCAAAGAAACAGGCTCAGCATGGCTCTCTTTCTTCCTATATTCTAAGACAGGGGCTTTATATTTAATATGCTAAGTTTGAAAGACAGTTGATACTGACAGCTGTATTATAGATCTCACAGTGTCTTGAAATGCACATGAATGAATTATTTGACCACTCTGAGGAGAGAAATAATGATTATCTTCTGCTTTTGCAAGATTTAGATACGTGGAAGTAGAAGAAAGTGGAGTAAGGTCTCACTGACAATTTGGATAAAAGAATATCAGCTCACTTGATTTCTGTCTTGAATGCCTGAGTTGTTCATATATCTTATTGTGCAATTCCATTCTGGAAGGTTCCTATGGTATAGAATCTACTCAATAATAATTTGATAACATTTGATTCTGGAATCTAAAAACTTTGTTCTGGTAGTTTGCAATAATATTTACTCCCCATTCTAACATACACATAAATACTAAAAAATAACCCTCAAGTTTCTGAGGAGGCTCAAATGAGAAAAATGTATGTATGACAAGGAATAATGTAGTTATTTAAATGCTACAACCCACCAAAACTTTAGTAGGCTAAAAATTAATAAACATATCCTATTATAATAATTCTGCAGTGCTAGTTTAAGAATCGTTTAGCACAATGTGGGAAATATTTACACTGCGATTGACCTTTATTTCTGACAAATGTCCAGTTTCTGATACAAAGTATGATTTGTCACATCTTAAACATTCTGGGCTTTTTCTAGTCTGTGCTTTTGCAGATCATGTTGCATTGGACAGGAAGGCCTTTTTTCTTTCCTTTTTCTCCTCCTAGTAAGTATCATGCATTCTTCAAGGTTCAGCTCAGATGTTACCTCTTTGATCTTCTGTCTCTTACCAAGGCCAACAAGTTCACTGACTGATTTGCTCATCCATTCATCAAACACTGGGAACATAATATATGCTAGACACTGGAGACAAAAATACCCGTAGGGCCTGGCTGATGTCCTCAAGGAATTCACAAGCACAGTGCATGAGAGAAAGAGAAAGACAGAGAAATAGAGATGATTACAAGATAGTATGACATAGACAGTGGCAGGAAAATGTACAGGGTGATATGGGAGACATACAGAAAATCACCTAACCAAAAACTTGTGGAACATCTAGAAAATCTTCCTAGAAGAGATAAACACCTGAGCTGAGTTTTAAAGAGTAACTCAAAACCAGGTAGGAGAGGGGGGCGTTTTAGACAAATGAAACAGGATCAAGGGAGTTTAAACCTAATTTTGTAAAAATGGGAATCCAATAAGGGATTTTTAAGCAGACTAATGACTTCAAGTTAATTTACTAGCATAATTTAAGTCTCTTGAAAGGTAATGAGATTTGTCTTTTTGGAACTTCTTTGGTGATAAAACAGAGAATTGGTTGGAAGGACTACATTTACTCTTAATATTTGCATAAGATTTGTAACCATCTATTTTTGCACACTTTTCATATTGTATTGTGGCTGTTTGTGAAATTGTCTTGACTTCTGCATCAGGCTTTGAATTCTTTGTTGTCACAGTATATATCATTCATCTTTGTAACCCTAGTATCAAGCACAGTGTTTGGTATGTAAAAGGCACTCAGTCACTGTTTGAATGACTGAGTCAATGAATGAGTGCATTAATGATTATGACTACAAGAAAATATCAGATAAGTAGAGAAAAAGGTCATATCAATCAAATACAACCAGCTTCGATCAAAGAGGATATAAAATAGAGAAGGATATTTTGCTAATCTCTAATCTCATTTCTTTGAAGCTGTACCCCCTCTCTAGCCAAGTCATGTTTCTGTATATACTTGCTCACCTCCATGCATATGGTCAAGGCTTCCCTAAACCCAGACTGTTATTTTCCTTTTTGCTGCCAGTCTACATCCGTTATCTATATCAAGACTTCATTCAAGATAGTAAGTTCTCCTTGATCATTGCCACTCTGAATACTACTCATGTATATATTTTTTGTCAACTATATATTCAATTTGTAATATATCAGTGTATTAGTCTGTTCTTGCACTGCTATAAAGAAATACTGAGACTGGGTAATTTATAAAGATAAGAGGTTTAATTGGCTCACAGTTCTGTAGGCTGTACAAGAAGCATAGTGGCTTTTTTCTTCTGGGGAGGCCTCAGGAAACTTACAATCATGGCAGAAGACAAAGGGAGAGTGGCACCTCACATGGCCAGAGAAGGAGCAAGAGAGAGAGGGGGCAGGTGCCACACACTTTTAAACAACCAGATCTCAAGAGAACTCACTATCATGATGACAGCACAGCTCCAGTAACCTCCCACTAGGCCCCACTTCCAGCACAGCACTGGGAGTTACATTTCAACGTGAGATTTGGAGGGGGGGGGGCATAGATCCAAATACTATCAATCAGTTAGCAACTATTTGCAAAATTGACATGTAAGAGGTCTCACGTTGGTGTGTGTGGTTCCTCAAGCTTTTGAAAGAATTGCAATTTTTATTTCCTTTGTGTCTACTCAAAGCAACAAATATAGGTCTTACTCAAAATGTCTTTTTCTATCCTGGACTTCCAGAACAGTCTTTACTTTTATTTAAGTTCAATTATTCTTAAAAACCAAGGGCAAACTGAAAATAAGTGAAAACAAATGCCACACAAAAACTTGAGCATAATTATTTTTAACATCATTTTTCATAATAGCCAAAAGATGGAAACCTAAATATCCATCAACTGATGAATGAACAAACTGTGGTATATCTGTGGTACATCTATACAATGAAACATTACATAGCCATAAAAAGAAATGATGTATTTTTGGAAAACTACTAAACATTGCTGAAAGAAGTAACAGAGACAAGTAAATGGAAAGACAGCCTGTGTTCATATTGTTAATGTTCATACTACCCAAAGCAATCTACAAATTAAGTGCAATCCTATCAAAATCCCAAGGACATTTTTTATAAAAACAGAAAAACTCATCCTAAAATTTATATGGAATCTCAAGGGACTCCAAATAGCCAAAACAATTGTGAAAAAGAACAAAGTTGGAGGAGTCATGTTTCCTGATTTCAAAACATATTATGAAGCCACAGTAATCAAAACAGTATGGTACTGGCATAAACAGACATATAGATCAATGGAATAGAATAGAGAACTTAGAAATAAACCTTCATGTGTATAGTCAAATGATCTCTGATAAGGGTGTCAAGACCACTCAATGGGGAAAGGACAGTCTCTTCAACAAATGGTGCTAGTAAAATCAGATACCCAAATGCAAAAGAATAAAATTGGACTCTTACAATTATACTATATACCTCTACAAGGAAAACTACAAAACACTGCTGAAAGAAATCACAGATGACACAAACAAATGGAAACACATCCCATGCTCATGGGTGGGTAGAATCAATATTGTGAAAATGACCACACTGCCAAAAGCAATGTACAAATTCAATGTAATTTGCATCAAAATACCACCACCATTCTTCACAGAACTAGAAAAGACAATCCTAAAATTCATATAAAACCAAAAAAGGAGCCCACACAGCCAAAGCAAGACTAAGCAAAAAGAACAAATCTGGAGACATCACACTACGTGACTTCAAACTATACCGTAAGGCCATAGTCACTAAAACAACATGGTACTGGTATAAAAATAGGCACATAGACCAATGAAAGAGAATAGAGAACCCAGAAATAAATCCAATACTTACAGCCAACTGATCGTTGACAAAGCAAACAAAAACATAAAAGTGGGGAAAGGACACCCTATTCAACAAATGGTGCTGGGATAATTGGCAAGTCACATGTAGAAGAATGAAACTGGATCCTCCTCTCTCACCTTATGCAAAAATCAACTAAGTTGGATCAAGGACTTAAGCCTAAGAACTGAAACTATAAAAATTCTAGAAGATAACATCAGAAAAACCCTTCTAGACATTGGCTTAGGCAAAGACTTCATGACCAAGAATCCAAAAGCAAATGCAAGAAAAACAATGATAAATAGGTGGGACTTAATTAATCTAAAAAGTTTCTGCACAGCAAAAGAAACAATCAGCAAAGTAAACAGACAACCCACAGAGTGGGAGAAAATCTTCACAATTTACACATCTGACAAAGGACTAATATCTAGAATCTACGAGGAACTTAAGCAAATTAGCATGAAAAAACTATCCTGTCAAAAAATGGGCTAAGGACATGAATAGACAATTCTCAAAAGAAGATATACAAATGGTCAACAAATATATAAAAAAAATCGCCAATGATCAGGAAAATGCAAATCAAAACCACAATGTGATACCACCTTACTCTTGCAAGAATGGCCATAATGAAAAAATAAAAGAATAATAGATGTTGGTGGGGATGTGGTGAAAAGGGAATACTTTTACACTGCTGGTAGAAATGTAAACTTGTACAACCACTATGGCAAACAGTGTGGAGATTCCTTAAAGAACTGAAAGTAGAACTACCACTTGATCCAGCAATCCCACTACTGGGTATCTACCCAGAGGAAAAGAAGTAATTATACATGAAAGACACTTGCACATGCATGTTTATAGCAGCACAATTTGCAATTGCAAAAATATGGAACCAGCCCAAATGCCCACCAATCCATGAGTGGATAAAGAAATTGTGGTATATGTATACCACAGAATACTACTATTCAGCCAAAAAAGGAATGAAATAATGGCATTTGCAGCAAACTGGATGGAACTGGAGACCATTATTCCAAGTGAAGTAATTCAGGAATGAAAAACCAAACATTGTATGTTCTCACTTATAAGTGGGAGCTAAGCCATGAAGATGCAAAGGCATAAGAATGATACAGCGGACTTTGGGGACTTGGGGGAAAGGGTCGGAGGCAGGTGAGGGATAAAAGAATACAAATTGGGTACAGTGTATACAGCTTGGGTGATGGGTGCACCAGAATCTCACAAATCACCACTAAAGAACTTACTCATGTAAACAAACACCACCTGTTCCCTAATAACCTATGGAAATTAATAATAAGAAGAAGACAGTGAAAAAAACAACAACAAAGAAAATTAACTCAACCTGCATTAAAGACCTAAATGTAAGACCTAAAACTATAAAACTAGAAGAAAACAGGAAGTAGTTCATGACATTCAATGTGGCAATGATTTTTTTTTGGGATATGACACCAAAAACATAGGCAACTAAAGCAAAATAGACAAATGGGACTACATCTAACAGAAATATTTTGTGCATCAAAGAATGCAATCAACAGAGTAAAAAGGCAACCTATGAAATGAGAGAAAATAATTGCAAATCATATATCTAGTAAGAGTTAATATCCAGAATACATAAAGAGCTCTTACAACTCAACAACAAAAAATCACATGAATTTAAAATGAAAAAAAGACTTGAATACACATTTTCCCAAAGATGCTATACAAATAGCCAATGAGAATATAAAAAGATGCTCATTATCAGTAATTGTCAGAAAAATGAAAGTCAAAATCACAATGAGAACATCACCTTACTTATTAGGATAGCTACCATCAAAAAACCCAGAAAAGTTTTGGCATGAATAAGGAAACTGAAACCCTTGTGCACAGCTGGTGGGGTTATAAAATGGTGTAACCACTTGTAAAATAGTATGGAAGTTCCTCAAAAAATTAAAAATAGAACTATCATATGATCCAACAACCCCACTTCTGGGTATGTATTCAAAAGAATTAAAAGCAAGGTCTTGAATATGGTCATAGAAACTATATTCACAATAGTCAAGAGGTGGAAGCAACTCAAATGTTCATTAATAGGTGAATGAATAAACAATTAAAGTAGTCAAATTAATAGAAAAAAGTAGAATGATAGTTATCAGACGCTAGAGGGAGGTGTAAGAGTTATTTAATGGATAGAGAGTTTTGAATTTGCGAATTGAAACAATTCTGAAGATCTGTCTCACAAAAATATGAATATACTTAACACTGCTGAACTTAAAAATGGTTAAGATGATAAATTTTGTGTTGTGTTTTTACCACCACAACAAAGGAATGAATTACTGATACATGCTGTAACATGGATGAATCTTGAAAATATTAAGCTAAGTGGAAAAAGCCAGTTACAAAAGACCATGTATTATATGATCCTACTTATATGAAATGTCCCAAATAGGCAAATTTATAGAAACAGGAAGTAGACTAGTGGTTTATTTAGGGCTAGATGTGAAGATGAGGGGATAGGAGGATGATTGCTAAAAGGGACAGGCATTCTTTTTGAATTAATGAAAATGTTCTAAAATTGTGGTGATGGCTACACGTCTGAGTATACTAAAAACACTGAATACTTTGAATTGTATAGCATATGAATTATATCTTCTAAAATTGTGGTGATGGCTACACATGTCTGAATATACTAAAAACACTGAATACTTTGAATTTTATCTTGATAATTTTTTTTAAAGGCAAGTACAAGAGTTGTTTTAAAGAAGCATATTTCATTTCTATATGTGATATTTAGGAAAGTCATATTTATAGCACACATATACCATCTGGTCTTTTGTTAATATTATTAATATAAAATTTACAATATATATAACCAACCAGCTTTTTATTTTGAACTCACGCTATATATAGTGGTTGCTATATTTAAGGTAAATTAGATCCCTAGTGGATTAGTCCTGATTTTGGAGTTGGTATAAAGTCAACTTGTCAGCAAAGATTTAAGTCTCCTCAAAGAGAAAAGCATGCATGACCTCAAGTTTTGGTCTGAGAGCTTAAGGGAAGGGAAAAAAATATGGAGAGAAATAGGCAATCAAGTGGAAAATGGTAAGGGCTCCCAGTCGGCAGCAGATACAAAAGGAATCTTGAAGGAATAAATGCCAGATATACCTCTCTGCAAGCTGCTATATCCGTATCTCTCATTAAAGTTTAGGACTAAACAATTTTCTAGCTTTTCCAACCAGTCAGTATTAGACTTCATTCAATGTCAAGCCAAATGATCCATTTGGAATGTAAAGAGAATATAATAGTACTGCAAATTACTTAACCACATGGGACTGTCTCTCTTGCATTCGTACAGATACTTACACAGATGTGAAACCATCCCTTCCCTTTGCCCATAGGTAGAAGCTAAGCAGTAGTGTTGGATAAAACTTGTGCTTGTGATTTTAGAAAGGTATCCTAAGGCTTCAAACTTAAATGGGAACCGGGGAGCAGTAACTTCTCACCTGGATATTATGACTGTTTTAAGTTTAGCATTTGGTAGAGAAACAGCAGTGAGCAGCTGAAGCAGTGGGAGCCAAAGGGCTTACTGAAAAATGTAATTTCAGAAAAACATAAGCAAAATTTCCTTTTACCAGTTGCCCCATTCCAGGAAGAGCCCCATTTATAATAAGCAAAAGATGGCTTTCCCAATAGGCGATTAATATAACTAATATGCTTGCTTAGGAACATTTGATGTCGGGAATTTGCAGCTTTTCACAGACTGCTGTGAGCATTTCATTTTGCTGAAGGTTAGGCTGTGTGCCAAGAAGCTATGGTCCTGCTTTCATGGTCTGACTAGACAATGTTTATTCTGTTCTACTTTCTTCCACATATTGTATTGCATAAATTCTGTAAAATAATGTCTTCAATTTGATGAAGATGAAGACCATAAACACACATGCATATTTACGGATTCTACAGAGTGTCAGAAATCTTAAAGGCAAGGCTATGTAACACTGGGCACCCTGGGCCACATATACAATTAAGTGATCTCAGGCGGTAGACAAGAAGAAAGAGTGGAAAAAGACTGGCTGATACATTGTTTTGTGTGCCATGCTTACTTGTGCTGCAAGATAACAGTGGCAGTCTGGTTGGATCAAAAAGGGTAGTCTTTTTATGTTGTTAGTAGTACACATATAAAATTCAGTTTTCCATATGATAACAGTGATTAATGAATTCCCCACTAGCTGGAGTACTGGCTTTTTAAAACTGAGATGACTGGCCTAAGGTATCTTTAGAAAAAGTCTTTATCGATTCAAATGGCTGACAATGGACATACACACAAGAAAAATAAAGACAGGGAACTATGTCTAAAATTAAGTATGATTTGTGAGCATTGAGCTCAAATATATTCTCTAAAGGGGAAAATTAATAGTTAATTTGTTTGGTTGGGCATTTATTCTGACACAGATAATACAGATGTTTCTTGATTTACAATGAGGTTACATCCTGATAAACGCATTTTAAGTTGAAAACATGTGGCAAGTCAAAAATGCATTCAAATAGAGCTAAGAGAGTGAACATCAGAGCCTAGCCTTGCCTAACCTTACATGTGCTCGGGATGCTTACATTAACATACAGTTGGGCAGAATCATCTAACACAAAGCCTATTTTATAACAAAGTGTTGAATATCTCAGGTACTACATATCAACAGACCACAAAAATATCAAAATGCAAAATTTGAAGTATGTTGAAATTGTGATGGTTTTACATAATTGTAAGTAAAAAACAAAACAAAACAAAACAAAACAAAACCCACAAGTCAAATTATCACAAGTCAGTGACTGTCTATACTTTCTTCTTACTGTCCAAGTTAAGATGTTAGAAGAACTGAAAGGCTTTTGGATATAAGAGTGAAAAGCATTCTAATTTCTCAAAGTCACTTATCAAAATAATCCCACAGTTATAAAGTTCCCTGTGTAGTTAGCTCTAAGAGGCTTTTTAGAAAGTTAAGGGAGAGCTCTAAGTTCAGTGGTCCAGGAAATTGATTCCTTGTCATCACTTTGGCTAACCAAGATTTATCATTTATATGAATCGAGAGTGGAGAAAGAGTGTGGTAGGTAATAGAATGCTGAAAGGAAAACATACTACCTAAGCCTTTCAAATATAAAATGTGGACATAAATCCATCTGCTATTGATTATAAATTCTTCAAAAGTTTACTCATGCCCATTGTAACGGCATTGATGCTGCAACATTTAAAAGCCACCATTATACATAATCTATGTGAGAGGTTACTGTAAGATCTTTTTTCACATAACAACTATTCACTGCGCTTACCAAAAGAGCTGAAAAGGCAATGTCAAAACATATATTTACTCTGCTAAAATGACCATCAGTAGGAACAATATTAACTAAGGCTAAGGATTAAGAGGGTTACTATGAAAGGTGAAGCATGTACAGATTTGAGTCTCTACATCATTAAAAAAACTTTAAAGTGAATTACAGGGATACTTTAGAGATATTGCAGGGTTAGTTCAAGACTACCGCAATAAACTGAGTATTGCAGTACAGTGATTTACACCAATTTTCTGGTTAGCCAGTGCATGTAAGAGTTATGTTTACGCTATTCTGTAGTCTATTAAGTGTGAAATAGTATTATGTGAAAATAACAATGTACATACCTTAATTTAAAAAATACTTTATTGCTAAAAAATGCTAACAATTATCTGAGTCTTCAGCGAGTTGTAACGTTTTTGCTGGTGGAGGGTCTTGCCTCCATGTTGATGGCTGCTGACTGATCTGGGTGGTAGTTGCTTGTGGCTGGGGTGGCTGTGGCAATTTCTTAAAATAAGACAATAATGAAGTTTGCTATACTGATTGACTCTTTCCTTCATGAAAGATATCTCTGTAGCATGCAATGCTGTTGGACAGCATTTAATCCACAGTAGAACTTCTTTGAAAATTGGAGTCAATCCTCTTAAATCCTGTCACTACTTTACCAACTAAGTTTATGTAATATTCTAAATCCTTGGTTGTCATCATTTCAACAATGTCTACAGCATTTTTATCAGTAGATTCCATCTTAAGAAGCCCCTTTCTTTACTCATCCATAGGAAGTAACTCCTTATCTGTTCAAGTTTCATCATGAGATTGCAGCAATTCAGTCACATCTTCAGGTTTCATCTCTAATTCTAGTCCCCTTGCTATTTTGACGACATCGTAGTTACTTCTTCCACTGAAGCAGTGAACTACTTAAAGTCATCCATGAAGGTTGGAATCAACTTCTTTTCAACTCCTGTCAATGTTGATATTTGACCTCCTCCCGTGAATCATAAATGCTCTTAATGACATCTAGAATGGTGAATCCTTTCCAGAAAGTTTTCAATTTACTTTGCTCAGATCCACTATAGGAATCACTATCTATGGCAAGTATAGCCTTATAAAATGTATGTCTTAAATAATAACACTTGAATATTGAAATTACTCCTTGATCTATGGACTACAGAGGGGATGTTGTATTAGCATGCATGAAAACAACATTAATCTTGTACATCCCAATCAGAGCTCTTGGATGACTAGATGCAATATCAATAATAGTTATATTTTGAAAGAAATCTTTTTGTCTGAATAAGAGGTCTCAAGAAAAGACTTAACATAATCAGTAAACCAACCTGCAAAAAGATGTACTATCATCCAAGCTTTGTCATTTATAGAGCACAGGGAGGGAAGATTTAGCATAATTCTTAAAGCTACTAGGATTTTTAGAATGGCCAATGAGTATTGGCTTCAACTTAAAGTCACCAGCTACTTTAGCCCCTATCAGGAGAATCAGCCTGTCCTATAAAGCTTTGAAGACAGGAATTAATTTTTCCTCTATAGCAATGAAAGTCCTAGAAGGCATCTTCTTCCTATATATAAGACTGTTTCATCTACATTGAAAACCTGTTGCTTAGCATAGTCACCTTCATCAATGATCTTAGATAGATCTTCTGGATAACTTGCTGTTGCTTCTACATCAGTATTTGCTGCTTCACCTTGCATTGTTATATTATGGAGATGTATTCTGTCCTTAAAGCTCATAAGCCAACCTCTGCTGGCTTCAAACTTTTCTTCTATACCTTTTTCACCTCTCTCAACCTTCACAGAATTGAAAAGAGTTAGGGCCTTGCTCTGGATTACGCTTTGGCTTAAGGGAATGTTGGTCTACTGCACTTTTAATTTCCTTAAAGAACTTTTCCTTTGCATTCACAACTTGGCTGTAGCACCAGCGGCCTAGGTTTCTGGCTCTCTTGGCTTTTGACATGCCTTCCTCACTAAGCTTAATCATTTCCAGCTTTTGATTTAAAATGAGAGACATGTAATTTTTCCTTTCACTTGAATACTTAGAGGCCATTGTAGAGTTATTAAATGGCCTACTTTCAATCTTGCTGTGTCTCAGAGAATAGGGAGGCCCAAGGAGAGGGAGAAAAGGGAACAGCCAATTGGCAAAACAGTCAGAATTCACAGGTTTATCGATTAAGTCTGCCATCTTATAATGGGTGCAATTTGTGGTGCCCCCAAATAATAACAGTAGTAAAAACAAAGATCACTGACTACAGATCACTGTAAGAGATATAAAAATAACAAAGTATGAATTATTGTGAGAATTACCATAATGTGACACAGAGACATAAAGGAACACATGCTGTTGGAAAAATGGTGCCAAGAGACTTGCTCAATGTAGGACTGCCACAAACCTTCAATTTGTTAAAAAAAAAAAAAAGGAATATCTGCAAAGTCAATAAAGTGAGGTATGCATGTATAACATTCATAAGGAAAGTTTCACGGCTATTTATGAGATACTAAAATAAACATTTAACATGGTGGATGCCCTCAAGTCTATTCCAGTATAATTTATTCCTCACCTCTTTATTTGAAAGACCAACTAGACAAAACTTTGGTGTACTGCAGGTCTTGCTTATGTATTACAGGCTTTATATATTCGTAGAGTGAAAAAGATTGAATCATTTAGGGTTAAGATCTCCTTTGTTGAAAACCAGTACATTCATTAATCTAGTTACTCCAGAAGTTGTGTTAATGGAATAATAAAATTCCTATGCTTATAAAATACATAGCTTTCTCAAAGTGCTATTGTGTTGTGCACTTTTTTCCATCTAAAGATGCTCATTATCTGGCAATTACAGTTCTTATGTCATAAAATAAAATAAGCTTTATGTAAGGTTATAGAGTTTGGAATAAATACAAATGTTATGATTACCAGAAATGATTAAGCCATGATTTAGTGGTACAAAAAGATGCAACAGAATTGGTAATGAATTAGTTATTAAGTTGGGTTGGTGTTTCATGTTTATTTTATCACTACAACTTCCATCTGTGTTACATATATTCATTTCTATGTATAAAACATTAAACTTTTAAAATAACTGTGTAAATATAAAAAGCATTTAACTTAATTAACATGAAAGGGGTACGTTTTTAGGAAGAATAATTTTTAAAAATATCTAAAATGTCCTTGAGGTCACAGAAAATGCTTCAATTGAGAGCAAATGCCTACTTTTTTCAGTACTTAATGATGAAAACCTTGCCACACCCTGGTCAAATGAGTAGGATATCACTGATAAATGGGTAGCACTTACGTCCAATGGGTGAATTTGTTGGTCAGGATTTTGTGCAAAGAAAGAAAGAAAATGTTCACTCTGTAGTCTGAATAATTTAAATTCTTCTTTAATGGTAATTTCTCAGTCACTGTCCTATAATTTTGAACCATGTACTTTTCTTTTTGAACCCTGGATCTTAGTATTCTAAAAATAACTGTTAAGTTTTTTCCCACAAAGAGTGGTCCTGTGTTAGAATATTACTGTGGCCATTAATTAAAAAAACAAAGTTTATATGCAGGAAATATTTTATAAAATAAAAAATAAAATAAAATGCATGATGAAACAAAGCTCCTAGATGGGATGTAAGAAGAAATACATACCAATATGCCAACTATGATACTGACTTTGAAGAAATACTGGTGGCTTATTTCCATATTGCTAGAATGAAAGTAAGGAAATTAGCAAGGCATTATAGTCACAGGGTTGCAACAGTATTACCAAATCATTCACTGTTATATCCAAATGATAAGACATTAATGGTTTGTATTTTTTTTTTTTTTAGGAAGTTAACCAAGGAGACTGGGATTCTGCAGAAGAGGAGTTTATAGAAACTGAAAACGAGATTTTAGAAAATAGTCAATAAATTCCATTTTTGGAAAATTGAGTTAAAGTATTAAAGATTATTGCAACTAAGTTACATTCTTATACACATTCAGACACATAAGAAAGAGTATTGTTGATTAGAATCTTTGTGTCTCTGATTTTCTTCTTATGCTTTTGTCTCACAATTAAATAAAAGGAAGAACTGGGTTTCCCTGATACTTACCCTCTGCTGCTTGGGATGAGCTAATGGTCTCCTAGGAGTTGCAAAGTCTTTACTTGAGAAAACAGTCAAAAAGGTAATTCTTGCAGCACTAGGTGCTCTAATGAGAAAGTGAATCACTCAAACTTAAAAAAATAACCCTGCTGGTACTGGCAAATCCTTTACTGTCACCTAAGGTTTTCTCTTTTAATTTTCACTAATTTTCATAATTCCACCAATAAAACATTAGGAATAGACAGGGATGAGTTGTAATTTCTAAAAATATTGGAGATCCTTCTTTACTGGAATAAGGTATTTTTATGCCATTACTTCTGAGAAAATTTCTATTTTTTTCCATTTTAACTTAAAACATTTTTTTCCACTGCATACATTCTGAATCCTCATGTAATTCTATAGACTAAGGAACTTCAAAATAGATACAGAATTTAAAAATTGCAAGATAAACTACAGCAAATAAGACATGTATATAGAAAATGTGAAAACATAATGAGGTACCTATAAATAATGGAAATATTAAGAATCATATCTAAAGACTGTACCTTATTTTAACCACAAGTATAGTCAATAAAAGCTGTGTAAATTAACTTTAAAAATCCTATTGAAAAATTAACCCCCCCTTCCTTTTTGGATTAAGTATTGTTTTCTACTAAAATTGCTTAAAGAGATATATTTGTAATGTGCTTTTTTCAATTTTCTATTTCATTTTCCTACTTTACTTTTTATTTATAATATACTTTATTTTTTTTAAGAGTGAATATGTATAGGAACATATATAATGGTATGCATAGAAGGAAGTGTGAAAAAGGAAGATCAGTCTACCTGATTGCGACATAGGGCAATTTAGGCCAAGGTTATAGGCCTGATTTTTTTTTAAATTTAAATTTAAATTTTTTATTATTATACTTTAAGTTCCAGGGTACATGTGCACCACGTGCAGGTTTGGTATGTATGTATACATGTGCCATGTTGGTGTGCTGCACCCATTAACTCGTCATTTACATTAGGTATATCTCCTAATGTTATCCCTCCCCACTCCCCCCATCCCATAACAGGCCCCAGTGTGTGATATTCCCCTTCCTGTGTCCAAGTGTTCTCATTGTTCAATTCCCACCTATGAGTGAGAACATGCGGTGTTTGGTTTTCTGTCCTTGCGATAGTTTGCTCAGAATGATGGTTTCCAGCTTCATTCATGTCCCTACAAAGAACATGAACTCATCATTTTTTATGGCTGCATAGTATTTCATGGTGTATATGTGTCACATTTTCTTAATCCAGTCTATCATTGATGGACATTTGGGTTGGTTCCAAGTCTTTGCTATTGTGAATAGTGCTGCAATCAACATACGTGTGCATGAGTCTTTATAGCAGCATCATTTATAATCCTTTGGGTATATGCCCAGTAATGGGATGGCTGGGTCAAATGGTATTTCTAGTTCTAGATCCTTGAGGAATTGCCACACTATCTTCCACAATGGTTGAACTAGTTTACAGTCCCACCAACAGTGTAAAAGTGTTCCTATTTCTTCACATCCTCTCCAGCACCTGTTGTTTCCTGACTTTTTAATGACTGGCATTCTAACTGGTGTGAGATGGTGTCTCATTGTAGTTTTGATTTGCATTTCTCTGATGGTATAGGCCTGATTTCTGTGTGAATAGGTAATTTTATTCAATTACATAGCTATAAAAATAACCCCCCTAAACAAGAAGGCTTAATAAGTACGGTGGTAAAAGCACACAAGTGGGACCCACAGTACTGGGGGAAAAAGCACCTGAAAGCACATATACAGAATGCTGATTGGATATATATATATATTTTTTTTTTTTTTTTTTTTTTGAGATGAAGTCTCACTCTGTCACTAGGCTAGAGTACAATGGCACGATCTCAGCTCACTACAACCTCCACCTCCCGGGTTCAAACAATTCTTCTGCCTCAGCCTCCCCAGTAGCTGGGATTACAGGTGTGCACCACCACACCCAGCTAATTTTTGTATTTTTAGTAGAGACGCGGTTTCACCATATTGGCCAGGCTGGCCTCGAACTCCTGACCTTGTGACCCGCCCACCTCGGCCTCCTGAAGTGCTGGGATTACAGGCGTGAGCCACCGCGCCCGGCCGGTAATATAATTTTTGAATATGAAGATACCATGATTAGTTACAAGTTGTGATTTTATATATATATGTGTGTATATATATATATATAAAAATATTTAAAATGTATATATATATACACACACACACAAACATATATATACACACATATATGTCACAAAAATATATTGAGGGATTAAGATATACATTTTGAAGAATGCAGGGAGTATAAAGGTAATGATATAATAAGATGCAGAAGTAGAAGGATATAATGAGATGTGCATATTTTAGCAGTGTAATGAAGTTCATGGAATGATGAGTCTAAAGAGATATGAATACCTGAAGGGAATTATGAATGAGTTTAAGAGGCCACATTCATGGAAAAATTAAAAAATAGACAGCAAATGCCAGCACAGACCAACATCCCTTTGCAAGTAGAATCATTCTAAGTGAAGACCTTACTAGACTGAAGGTAGAAACTTAAGGCAGTGATTTGGATAATAAAAATATATGCTTTCACTTGAAATATTTGAATAGGTATCTCAATTCTTTGCTTCAATTTTGTACAGCTCAATCAGAGAAGAGCAAAAATAAAAAATAAAATAAAAACTGCTGCTTAATTAAATTTTCTAATGAGACAGAGATATATTCCTGAATGACCTGGGTGGGTGGAATTAAAATTTGATTACATCAAAATGCATACAGGATCCAGATGCAGGCCAACAAATGGAGTTGAGCCAATTTTAGCTTTTGCTGTCTTGGGAATTTTATTTTAGATTATAAGCTGTAAGCTTTTTTATTTAAGATTACATGATTAAAGACTTCAGTGTCTTTGACCTAGGTTCTTTGTTTTTCCACTTTAGCAGTTCTAGTCAAGGAACCTTTAAGTTTTGCTGTTGGAACTAAGTTTGTAGCAGTGAAGTATCTCTTTTAGAATACTGACCACGGCACATAGGCACATGTTCCCGTCTCTGACTTCCAGCTAGTTAGCTGCCTGAGCATAGGCAGTTATCTTAAGCTGAGATTGGCTTCCCTTTAGAAGAAATTCTGAAGCTCTTGATTCCAAGCAGTAGGAAGTCCTCACCAAGGTCATACTGTAAATACTCTGTAATTTACAAGTGCTTATCTCAGGGTTATGATCTTAGAATCCCCATGTTAGGAGAGTAGAGGAAAGGGAAGCAGTTGCTGAATTCCAAATAGAGCATGTTAGCGAAAATAAAATTATTTACACAATATTATCTCCTTTAATAGTATCCTACAATAACCCTACATTGGGTAGACATTATTTCCATTTTGCATAGGAGGGAGATAAGACCTAGAAAGGTTAAGTAGCTTGTCCAGGGTCATTTGGCTAGTAAAAGGTAGAGCAAGTAAAAGAGCCAAAGAGTGTCTTGACAAAGCTACTTCTAAGTATACCTTATTTCCTTTTCCCTTATTCTCTAACAGCCCCTGAACCATCAGGAAGAGTTAATGAACTCCCAGTATGACCTTGGTGAGGACTTCCTACTGCTTGGAATCAAGAGCTTCAGAATTTCTTCTAAAGGGAAGCCAATCTCAGCTTAAGATAACTGCCTATGCTCAGGCAGCTAACTAGCTAGAAGTCAGAGACGGGAACATGTGCCTTTGTGCTGTGGTCAGTATTCTAAAAGAGATATTTCACTGCTCCAAACTTACTTCCAACAGCAAAACTTAAAGTTTCCTTGACTAGAACTGCTAAAGTGGAAAAGCAGAGAACCTAGGTCAGAGACACTGAAGTCTTTAATCATGTAATCTTAAATAAAAAAGCTTACAGCTTATAATCTAACATAAAATTCCCAAGAAAGCAAAATCCTTTCTATTAAAAAAAAGCTCATAGTTTTTCCATTGTATATAGAAAAAGATTGGGAATTTCAGGGAATGGTGCCAGAATATTTTAATCTGCCTTACAGAAGTTGATACTGTACCAAGTGTGAAGTTGTAATTTATTCATGTCATGCATTTTACAAATAAAGAAAATGAATCATAAATGTTAGTCTTACAAATGTTATCATCCATAGTTATGCCAGGAATGCCTATCAGTGGAATACTTGTTCCTTAAAATCCTCACTTGCAGATAGGAGCTGAAAATAGTAATAGGCTAAAAGACAGACCAGAGAAAATAGAAAATTCATCGGTAGTCAAAATAGAAAAACAGAAAACACTTTATACATGCAAACACGTCTAGGCACTTGCTTTATAAGAATAATGTTTACATTGATTTGAGATGCAGTATGCTATAGTGAAATGAACACCAGACTGGGAGTTAAGGATCCCGGGTTCCAGTTGTTGTAACCATAACTATTTGTCTAACTTTAAGAATATCACTGGGACTCTGTTCCAAGATGGCCGAATAGGAACAGCTCCATTCTGCAGCTCCCAGCATGACCGACGCAGAAGACAGGTGATTTCTGCATTTCCAACTGAGGTACCCAGTTCATCTCATTGGGATGGGTTGGACAGTGGGTGCAGCCCATGGAGGGCGAGTCGAAGCAGGGCGGGGCGTCACCTCACCCAGGAAGTGCAAGGGGTTGGGGGATTTCCCTTTCCTAGCCAAGGGAAGCCGTGACAGATTGTACCTCGAAAAACGGGGCATTCCTGCCCAAATCCTGTGCTTTTCCCACAGTCTTAGCAACTGGCAGACCAGGAGATTCTCTCCCATGCCTGGCTTGGCAGGTCCCAAACCCATGGAGCCTTGCTCACTGCTAGCACAGCAGTCTGAGATCAACCTGCCAGGCTGCAGCCTGGCGGGGGGAGGGGCATCCACCATTGCTGAGGCTTGAGTAGGTAAACAAAGTGGCCAGGAAGCTTGAACTGGGCGGAGCTCACCACAGCTCAGCAAGGCCTACTGCCTCTACAGACTCCACCTTTGTGGGCAGGGCATAGCTGAACAAAAGGCAGGAGAAAATTCTGCAGACTTAAACGTCCCTGTCTGACAGCTCTGAAGAGAGCAGTGGTTCTACCAGCACGTCGTTTGAGCTCTGAGAATGGACAGACTGCATCATCAAGTGAGTCCCTGACCCCTGTGTAGCCTAACTGAAAGACATCTCCTAGTAGGGGCCAGCAGACACCTCATACAGGCAGGTGTCCCTCTGGGATGAAGCTTCCAGAGGAAGCATCAGGCAGCAATATTTGCTGTTATGCAATATTTGCTGTTCTGCAGCCTCTGCTGGTGATACCCAAGGAAACAGTGTCTGGAGTGGACCTCCAGCAAACTCCAACAGATCTGCAGCTGAGCGACCTGACTCCTGGAAGGAAAACTAACAAACAGAAAGGAATAGCATCACCATCAACAAAAAGGACATCCACACCAAAACCCCATCTGTAGGTCACCAACGTCAAAGACCAAAGGTAGATAAAACCACAAAGATGGTGAGAATCCAGAGCAGAAAAGCTGAAAATTCTAAAAACCAGAGCGCCTTTTCTCCTCCAAAGGATCGCAGCTCCTCACCAGCAATGGAACAAAGCTAGATGGAGAATGTCTTTGACAAGTTGACAGAAGTAGGCTTCAGAAGGTCCGTAATAACAAACTTCTCCGAGCTAAAGGAGCATGTTCTAACCCATCACAAGGAAGCTAAAAACCTTGAAAAAAGGTTAGACGAATGGCTAATGAGAATAAACAGTGTAGAGAAGACCTTAAGTGACCTGATGTAGCTGAAAACCAAGGCACGAGAACTTCGGGAGGCATGCACTAGCTTCAATAGCAAATTTGATCAAATGGAAGAAAGGATATCAGTGATTGAAGATCAAATTAATGAAATAAAGTGAGAAGGCAAGTTTAGAAAAAAAAGAGTAAAAAGAAACGAACAAAGCCTCCAAGAAATATGGGACTATGTGAAAAGACAAATTCTACATTTGATTGTTGTACTTCAAAGTGATAGGGAGAATGGAACCAGGTTGAAAAACACTCTTTAGGACATTATCAAGGAGAACTTTCCCAACTTAGCAAGGCAGGCCAGCATTCAATTTCAGGGAATACAGAGAACACCACAAAGATACTCCTCGAGAAAAACAACCCCAAGACACATAATTGTCAATTTCACCAAGGTTGAAATGAAGGAAAAAATGTTAAGGGCAGCCAGAGAGAAAGGTCAGGTTACCCACAAAGGGAAGCCCATCAGACTAACTGCGGATCTCTCTGCAGAAACCCTGCAATCCAGAAGAGAGTGGGGGCCAATATTCAACATTCTTAAAGAAAAGAATTTTCAACCCAGAATTTCATATCCAGCCAACATAAATGAAGGAGAAATAAAGTCCTTTACAGACAAGCAAATGCTCAGAGATTTTGTCACCACCAGGCCTGTGTTACAAGAGTTCCTAAAGGAAGCACTAAACATGGAAAGGAACAACTGGTACCAGCCACTGCAAAAACCTGCCAAATTGTAAAGAACATCAATGCTATGAAGAAACTGCATCAATTAACAGGTAAAATAACCAGGTAACATCATAATGACAGGATCAAATCTACACCTAACAATATGGACCTTAAATGTAAATAGGCTAAATGCCCCAATTAAAAGACACAGACTGGCAAATTGGATAAAGAGTCAAGCCCCATCAATGTGCTGTATTCAGGAGACCCATCTCTGTGCAAAGACACACATAGGCTCAAAATAAAGGGATGGAGGAAGATCTAACAATCAAATGGAAAGCAAAAAAAAAAAAAAAAGCAGGGGTTGCCATCCTAATCTCTCATAAAACAGACTTTAAACCAACAAAGATCAAAAGAGACAAAGAAGGCCATTATATAATGGTAAAGGGATCAATGCAGCAGGAAGAGCTAACTATTCTAAATATATATGCACCCAAGACAGGAGCACCCAGATTCGTAAAGCAAGTCCTTAGAGACCTACAAAGAGACTTCGACTCCCACACAATAATAATGGGAGACTTTAACACCCCACTGTCAATATTAGATCAACGAGACAGAAGGTTAACAAGGATATCCAGGACTCAAACTCAGCTCTGGACCAAGCAGACCTAATAGACATCTACAGAGTTCTCCACCCCAAATCAACAGAATATACAGTCTTCTCAGCACCACATTGCACGTATTCTAAAATTGACAACATAATTGGAAGTAAAGCACTCCTCAGCAAATGTAAAAGAACAGAAATCACAACATACTGTCTCTCAGACCACAGTGCAATCAAATTAGAACTCAGGATTAAGAAACTCACTCAAAACCGCACAAGCACATGGAAACTGAACAACCTGCTCCTGAATGACTACTGGGTACATAATGAAATGAAGGCAGAAATAAAGATGTTCTTTGAAACCAATGAGAACGAAGACATGATGTACCAGAATCTCTGGGACACATTTAAAGCAGTGTGTAGAGGGAAACTTATAGCACTAAATGCCCACAAGAGAAAGCAGGAAAGATCTAAAATTGACACCCTAACATCATAATTAAAAGAACTAGAGAAGCAAGAGCAAACACATTCAAAAGCTAGCAGAAGGCAAGAAATAACTAAGATCAGAGCAGAACTGAAGGAGACAGAGACACGAAAAACCCTTCAAAAAATCAATGAATCCAGGAGCTGGTTTTTGAAAGGATCGACAAAATTGATAGACCGCTAGCATGACTAATAAAGAAGAAAAGAGATAAGAACCAAATAGATGCAATAAAAAATGATAAAGGGGATATCACCACTGATCCCACAGAAATACAAATTACCATCAGAGAATACCATAAACACCTCTATGCAAATAAACTAAAAAATCTAGAAGAAATGGATAAATTCCTGGACACATACACCCTCCCAAGACTAAAGCAGGAAGAAGTTGAATCTCTGAATAGACCAATAATGGGCTCTGAAATTGAGGCAATAATTAATAGCCTACCAACCAAAAAAAGTCCAGGACCAGATGGATTCACAGCCAAATTCTACGAGAGGTACAAAGAGGAGTTGGTATCATTCCTTCTGAAACTATTCCAATCAATAGAAAAAGAGGGAATCCTCCCTAACTCATTTTATGAGGCTAGCATCATCTTGATACCAAAACCTGGCAGAGACACAACAAAAAAAGAGAATTTTAGACCAATATCCCTGAAGAACATCGATGCAAAAATCCTCAATAAAATACTGGCAAACCGAATCCGGCAGCCCATCGAAAAGCTTATCCACCACGATCAAGTCGGCTTCATCCCTGAGATGAAAGGCTGGTTCAAAAAATGCAAATCAATAAACGTAATCCATCACATAAACCAAACCAATGACAAAAACCACATGATTATCTCAATAGATGCAGAAAAGGCCTTCGACAAAACTCAACAGCCCTTCATGCTAAAAACTCTCAATAAACTAGGTATTGATGGAATGCATCTCAAAATAATAAGAGCTATTTATGACAAACCCACAGCCAATATCATACTGAATGGGCAAAAACTGGAAGCATTCCCTTTGAAAACCAGCACAACACAAGGATGTCTTCTCTCACCACTCCTATTCAACATGGTGTTGGAAGTTCTGGCCAGGGACAATCAGGCAAAAGAAAGAAATAAAAGGTATTCAATTAGGAAAAGAGGAAGTCAAATTGTCTCTGTTTGCAGATGACATGATTGTCTATTTAGAAAACTCCATCGTCTCAGCCCAAAATCTCCTTAAGCTGATAAGCAACTTCAGCAAAGTCTCAAGATACAAAATCAACCTGCAAAAATCACAAGCATTCCTATACACCAATAACAGACACATGGAGAGCCAAATCACGAGTGAACTCCCATTCACAATTGATACAAAGAGAATAAAATACCTAGGAATCCAATTTACAAGGGATGTGAAGGACCTCTTCAAGGAGAACTACAAATTACTGCTCAATGAAATAAAAGAGGACACAAACAAATGGAAGAACATTCCATGCTCATGGATAGAAGAATCAATATCATGAAAATGGCCATACTGCCCAAGGTAATTTATAGATTCAATGCCAACCCCATCAAGCTACCAATGACTTTCTTCACAGAATTGGAAAAGGCTACTTTAAAGCTCACATGGAACCAAAAAAGAGCTCTCATTGCCAAGACAATCCTAAGCAAAAATAACAAAGCTGGAAGCATCACACTACCAGACTTCAAACTACACTACAAGGCTACAGTAACCAAAACAGCATGGTACTAGTACCAAAACAGATATATAGACCAATGGAACAGAACAGAGGCCTCAGAAATAACACCACCCATCTACAACCATCTGATCTTTGACAATCCTGACAAAAACAAGAAATGGGAAAGGATTCCCTATTTAATAAATGGTGCTGGGAAAACTGGCTAGGCATATGTAGAAAGCTGAAACTGGAAAGCTGAAACTGGATCTTCCTTATACCTTATACAAAAATTAATTCAAGATGGATTAAAGACTTAAATGTTAGACCTAAAACCATAAAAATCCTAGAAGAAAACCTAGGCAATACCATTCAGGACATAGGCATGGGCAAGGACTTCATGACTAAAGCACAAAAAGCAATGGCAACAAAAGCAAAATTGATGAATGGGATCTAATTAAACTAAAGAACTTTCTGCACGGTAAAAGAAACTACCATCAGAGTGAATAGGCAACCTACAGAATGGGAGAAAATTTTTGCAATCTGCCCATCTGACAAAGGGCTAATATCCAGAATCTACTAAAAGAACTTAAACAAATTTACAAGAAAAAAACCAAACAACCCATCAAAAAGTGGGCAAAGGATATGAACAGACACTTCTCAAAAGAAGACATTTATGCAGCCAACAGACACAAGAAAAAATGCTCATTTGATCTCAAGTTACCCTCTTAGTCTTACTATTATATCTAAAGTGTTTCATGTACTATACTCTGAAATTCCTTCATAGAGTTCCCTGTGTCTATGACCTTCACAACAATCACTTTCAGCATTTTCTCTACATGTTAAGTCCTTAGTTTTCTGGGATTATTATTGAACCTTCTTAGACATATAAAAATCATTTTAGAGATGTCACAGCTTCAAATGCATGGATTCAGTTGGTCCTAGATTTTCCTTACAAAACACTGGCTTTCCTCTAAGGGCTTCTGTGATTGCAGGTGTTAGAGTGTTTGCAGAGGCAAAGTATTTGTAATTTCATAGAATGTGAAGGCCTTTTGGTTCCCCCAAATACTTTTTCCTACTCAGTGATTAATGAATGATATTAAATAGTTTAGAGGTACATCTAGCTGAAATCAAAACAAACTATAAAGGTTTGCTCATTAAAACGCAAATACACTTGGTAAAGAAAATATTCTAAAGTGTAGTGAGAATGAACTTCTACCTTTTTTTCTAGGCTTTATTTTACTTATGACAATTCAATTTACAGTGATTCACACTTACAGAACTCTGCTTTTTTTTTATATCCATGTTATTTATTAGGGCATTTAAAATTAATAGTGAACAAATATTTCAGTCAGTTGTCTTACAAAACATATGAAGAAGGTGCTATGGGAACACGAATGAAGAGTGTTTAACTCAGCTAGGGAAAGGGGGAAGCAGACATCAGGAAAGACTTCTTCATAAAGGAGAAGCATCTTAAGCTTGATCTTAAAGAATATGTGGTAGTTAGGCAGTAGTTAATATGTAGAGAAGTAAGATAAAGTTTTTCCAAGCAAAAACTATATAAGCAAAGGGGCCAGGCATGGTGGCTTATGCCTGTAATACTAGTACTTTGGGAGGCTAAGGCGAGAGGATCGCTTGAGGCTGAGAGTTGAGGGCCAGCCTGGGAAACATAGTGAGACCTAGTCTCTTAAAAAAAAAGGATATATAAATAAAGCCTTAGAGGTAAGAGAGAATAAGAAGTAAGAATCATCATGTCAGGTTTAGGGAGAAGCAAGGTCTGATGATAAGGAGGTAAGAGAAGAAACAAAAATATTAGAAGAAATCAGATTATAAAGGGCCTTTCATGACATGTTAAGGAGTTTGAATTTTATCTTGAGGTTATGAAAAAACTGCTGAAGAGTTGCGTGTAGGGAGTGTTAATAACGAATTAGCAAATTTGAACAGATTACTTTGGCATCAAATTGGAGAACGGATTGGGAAGATGTTAACTGGGGGGAGGGGAGCCTATAACAATTGTCCAGGAAGTTAATAATAAAGACCTAAACTGGGCCAGGCGCATTGGCTCACTCCTGTGAGCACTTTGAGAGGTCGAGGTGGGTGGATCACCTGAGACTGGGAGTTCGAGACCAGCCTGACCAACATGGAGAAACCCCATCTCTACTAAAAATACAAAATTAGCTGGGCATAGTGGTGCATGCCTGTAATCCCAGGTACTCAGGAGGCTGAGGCAGGAGAATCACTTGAACCTGGGAAGTGGAGGTTGCCGTGAACCGAGATCGTGCCATTGCACTCCAGACTGGGCAACAAGAGCAAAACTCCATCTCAGAAAAATAAAAAAAAGAAAAAAAACACCTAAACTAAAACAGTAACAGAGGGAATGTAGAACAAGGGACAGTTTTAAGAGGATGTAGAAAAACAAGTATTGTCGACAAAATAAGTTTAGTATTTGTCATGTTATATTTACTGGCAGCAGATACATAATACATTTAGAATATGAGTTTGGAGCTTGGACAAGCTCTGGGCAATGGTATAGACTTACAATTCACTTTATAAATGGTATCTGAAACTACTAGCCTGCATGAGGCCATCTGAAGTCAATGGACAAGATGTGAAAAGAGCCAAAGAAAAAAAACTGTAAAGAAAGCTTTTCAAGGAATTGACAAAGGAAGGCAAGCCTGTAAAGGAGCCAATTAAAGGAGACAAGTACCACATTAATTTACCCATCTCTTCTGCACTAGCCTATGAAATCCATGGGGCAGGAGTTTTATTTTTATTCATCTTTGCAAATACAGGACTTAACATAGTATCTGACATTTACTTGATGTTTATTAAATATTTGTTGAACAAAGTAAATTAAGTTTCTATGTATGATGGTTTCTAAACACCTAATCAAAGTGCCTAGGGGGTCTAATTACAATACCCATTTGCACAAAAAATTGAGTTTGATCCAATTCAAAGGTTTAATGTGAACCTCATTATTATTTTTCATCATCATAGGTGGAAACACTTGACAAAAAGTTATCCATCTATGAAGAGTCTGCTCAAGTACAAGTGACAACTGATTTGATGAACAAATGAATGGGAAACAAGCACATGAAGGGAAAAGAGAATACATATGACAGCATTTTTCTCTGGAGGAAAAATGAAATGGCAATTTCCAACTCTTTTTTTTTTTTTTTTAAATTAGAATGTCTCTTTAAATGTGACCTGGAATACATGGTGAGATTTTTCTAAGGACTGATGTTAAGGGAAACTCCTCTGAAATTATAAAAAAGAAAAAACCAGGGATGGTTTATTTATTTTTATAACAGGTAAAGTATTATTAATTTTTTTATAACTTAAGTTTACATTCATATTTTCTGAAAATGTCTTGGTTTCTACTGATACCAATAAATATCTCAACATTCTACCTTTAATAATAAACAAAACTATTCCATTAAAATTGTTCTGAAATCACATAGTTAATTCCTGACTAATCCCCTACTCTAGTGAGTTTTCTAATCTTTCCTTTATTGAGGAGTAAAAGAAAAACAAACGATTTAAGCCTAATGATATGCATATCTAAAAGAATGTGAACCAAAGACGTAGGATAAGGGCAAACTGTATAATAACAATCCTTGTCTAAGTGGGGACACAGACGAAAGAGCTAAAATCTGGCACCAGTAAGTTAGCTGCCATTATTTTTTATAATTTAATGGTTGAAGAAGAGCACAATTATGTAGTAAAAGGAAGAATGTAAATCTTGAGACCTTAATCCTATTCATTTTCTGCTATTCTGAGTTTGAGTTTCCTTGACAAAAAAATTAGGGTGTTTGTGCTCTCTACTGTTCATTGTAGTTTGAATATTTTATGATTCTATAAAGTTTTTTATTTATAAAATTAATTCTGTTGTGTTGTTTCTGCATAACAAATTAAGAAACTATATTTTATTCAAATTGCACTAAATACAACTTCTCTTTTTGGTGTTGGGGAGAAACCACAAGCTTTATTGGCTGGAAGTTCTCCTCAGGAGCCTGGTCTCCTGGAACTGGATGCCTAAATACAACTCCTATGCTGAATTTTTAGAAATGGAAGTTGTTAATTAAAAACAAAATACTGGGGAATGCTACCTTTCCGTTGTCTTAGTATCCATGGATAAATTAATATTTTTTTTTACATTTTTACATTTAAATACAGGTTTTCCAAACAGAAAAAGATGATTACAAGACATATTAGTTGTCTCCCATTTCTGACAGAAAGGACATCATACAGACTCAGAGTTAACTACTTTCCTCACTCAGTGCTGAGAACCCTTTCTTTAGTTTGCAGTATTGGTATTTTCATGGACAGCAGAAACACAGCTGATTTTCTTCCTTTTTTTTTTTTTTTCCTTTTTTTAATGAAAAGGCAGTTTCATGGATTTTACTCTGTATACTGTTAAGGCTGAACCCTTAGCCTTTTTCTTATTGAGTAGAAATAAGAAAAAAAAAGAATGATGATAACTGTAATAATGGTTAATAATCTTTCTTTTTCAGGAAAACTGTGCATTAATGTTACATGAATCTTATTTGGAAAAAAATGAAGAAAAGAAAGGGCAATGGTCAAATATAATAGTACCTCGGTAATTGATGATTTCTGTCCCAAGCACCGGAGTCATCTCCAGGACTGTGATAAAGGCTTTGTCCATAGATGTCAGAGGAAAAGGAGACATGCGATGTCTTCTAGCCACCTTGGTGATATCGACAGCACTGTGACCTAAACAGTAAGATAATTAACTAAGAATATGATGCTGTAACACTGATTAAAAAGTGGCAATGACTTATAATATCACAACTCCCAATTTCAAATGTCCCCAGATGAAGATTAGCAGGTAAGAAACTGTTTCTCCTGCCTCCAAAATACAGCCTGCTCTGGTGGAACATTAAATCAAGTTAGCAATGTTACATCATGTGTCAAAACCCAGTGGCTGCTCCAGACATGTTCAATGAACTGACTTAAAGGCACTACCCCAAAGGGTTTTCATTCTAAGACTAATGACATTGTCATAGGCACCTAAGAAAAATATATACAAAGTTGCTTATACTATTAATATGTGATTTCTTCTCATGGTCAATCAAAATCGCAAAATTTTCAAAGTTTGAAAAACCTTAGAGATTATTTATTGCTAGACAGAATTTTCTATTCAAATTGTGGGTGAACACTTAAAAAAGGATTGAAATATAAACTTATTTATAACTCATTTTCATTGAGGTCTTGACCTACTCATTCAAATATAAAAAAATCATTCACAACCAGTGTAACTAGGCAGAATGATATTGCTGCTTCTGCTTCTTATTCAGCTTTATAGGTCTCAGATCAGACAGTTTTTTTTTGTGATAGGCTGCACTTTATGGTGCAAACTGGATATAATCTTACAAAAGTTTCTTTTAAAAATATGTTTAGTTTCTGAGAAGAAAATTCTACTTTTTAGTTACATAGGTTTTATCTGTTGAATATGCTTTGTAATAGGCATTTTCTTATTAAACAGCAAGTTTGATGATCAGTGATACACATACCCATTCAACAAATATTTACTGACTGCATTTTATGAACCAGAAACAGTTAGGGACTTGGGATACTGACAGTAAAATATATCCTGCCATGAAGAATGTAACAGTCCAGCAGAAAGGTAAGAAAATGAAAGAAAGAGAAAGAGAACAAGAAAGAGAAAGAGGAAGGAAGGAAGGAAGCAAGAAAAGAAGGAGAAAGAAAAAGAGGGTAGTAAACCACCTGATGGTTCTGTTAAGTTTTATTTTTTTATTTTACTTATTTTATTTACTGTTCCAGGATACATGTGCAGGATGTGCAGGTTTGTTACATAGGTAAACTTGTGCCATGGTGGTTTGCTGCACGGATCAATCCATTACCTAGGTATTAGGCCCAGCTATTCTTTCTGATGCTCTCCTTCCCTGCAACCCTCTGACAGGACCCAGTGTGTGCTGTTGCCCCCCCCACCCATGTGCCCATGTGTTCTTGTTGTTCAACTCCCACTTTAAGTGAGAACATGCAGTGTTTGGTTTTCTGTTCCTGTGTTAGTTTACTGAGGATAATGGCTTCCAGCTCCCTCCCTGTCCCTGCAAAGGACATGATCTCATTCCTTTTTACGGCTGCATAGCATTCCATGGTGTATAGGTGAGAGGTGACAATATGCTAGCAGCCCCCACTCACTCTTGGCACCTCCTTGGCCTCACGTCCACTCTGGCTGCACTTAAGCCCTTCAGCCTGCCGCTGCACTGTGGGAACCCCTCTCTGGGCTGGCCGAGGCCAGAGCCGGCTCCCTCTGCTTGCAGGGAGGTGTGGAGGGAGAGGCGTGGGTGGGAACTGGGGCTGTGGGTGGCACTTGCGGGCCAGCACGAGTTCTGGGTGGGCGTGGGTACGGCGGGCCCTGCAGTGAGGGGCTTAGCCCCCAGGCCAGCAGCTGCGGAGGGTGTGCTGGGTCTCCCAGCATTGCCGACCCGCGAGCGCCCGCTCGAATTCTCGCTGGGCCTCAGCCGCCTCCTTGCGGGGCAGGGCTCAGGACCTGCAGCCCGCCATGCCTGAGTGACCCCCCCCCACCCCCACTGTGGGCTCCTGCCACGACAGGTGCCACCCCCTGCTCCACAGCGCCCAGTCCCATGGACTGCCCAAGGGCTGAGTGTGGGCACGTGGTGTGGGTCTGGTGGGCAGCTCCACCCACGGCCCTGGCGTGTGATCCACTAGGTGAAGCCAGCTGGGCTCCTGAGTCTGGTGGGGACTTGGAGAACTTTTATGTCTAGCTGGAGGATTGTATATGCACCAATCAGCACTCTGTGTCTAGCTCGGGTTTGTGGATGCACCAATCAGCGCTCTGTATCTAGCTAATCTGGTGGGGACTTAGAGAACTTTTATGTCTAGCTAGCGGATTGTACATCCACCAATCAGCACTCTGTGTCTAGCTAAAGGATTATAAACACACCAATCAGCACTCTGTGTCTAGCTCAAGGTTTATAAATGCACCAATCAGTGCTCTGCGTCTTGCTCAAGGTTTGTAAATGCACCAATCAGTGCTCTGTGTCTAGCTAATCTAGTGGGGACTTGGAGAACTTTTGTGTCTAGCTAAAGGATTGTAAATGCACCAATCAGCACTCTGTGTCTAGCTCAAGGTTTGTAAACGCACCAATCAGCAACCTGTGAAAACGGACCAATCAGCTCTCTGTAAAATGGGCCAATTGGCAGGATGTGGGTGAGGTCAGATAAGGGAATAAAAGCAGGCTGCCCAAGCCAGCAGCAGCAACCTGCTGGGGTCCCCCTCCATGCTGTGGAAGCTTTGTTCTTTCACTCTTCACAATAAATCTTGCTGCTGCTCACTCTTTGGGTCCGTGCTGCCTTTAAGAGCTGTAACACTCACGGTGAAGGTCTGCAGCTTCACTCCTGAAGCCAGCAAGACCACGAACCCACTGGAAGGAATGAACAACTCCAGCCGTGCCACCTTTAAGAGCTGTGACACTCACTGTGAAGGTCTGCAGCTTCACTCCTGAAGTCAGTGAGATCACGAACCCACCAGAAGGAAGAAATTCTGGACACATCTGAACATCTGAAGGAACAAACTCCGGACACACCATCTTTAAGAACTGTAACACTCACTGCGAGGGTCCGCGGCTTCATTCTTGAAGTCAGCGAGACCAAGAACTCACCAATTCTGGACACATAGGTACCACATTTTCTTTATCCAGTCTATCATTGATAGGCGTTTGGGTTGATTCCACGTCTTTGCTATTGTGAATAAATGCTGCAATGAGCATACGCATGCATGTATCTTTACAAAGGAATGATTTATATTCCTTTGGGTATATACCCAGTAATGGGATTGCTGGATCAAATGGTATATCTAGTTCTAGGTCTTTGAGGAATCACCACACTGTCTTCCACAATGGTTGAACTACCAACAGTGTAAAAGAGTTCCCATTTCTCCACAGCCTTGCCAGCATCTGTTGTTTCTTGACTTTTTAATAATTGCCATTCTGACTGGCCTGAGATGGTATCTCATTGTGTTTTTGATTTGCATTTCTCTAATGATCAGTGATGTTGAGCTTTTTTCCATGTTTGTTGGCTGCATGTATATCTTCTCTTGAGAAGTGTCTGTACATATCCTTTGCCCACTTTTAAATGGGGTTATTTTTTTCTTGTAGATTCTGGATATTAGACCTTTGTCTGAGGGATAGATTGCAATAATTTTCTCCCATTCTGTAGTTTGTCTCTTCACTCTGATGACAGTTTCTTTTGCTGTGCAGAAGCTCTTTAATTAGATCTCATTTGTCAATTTTTGCTTTTGTTGCAATTGCTTTTGACGTTTTTGTCACGAAATCTTTGTCCGTATCTATGTCCTGAATGGTATTGCCTAGATTTTCTTCTAGGATTTTTACAGTTTTGGGTTTTACATTTAAATATTTAATCCATCTTGACTTAACTTTTGTATAAGGTATAAGGAAAGGGTCCGGTTTCAATTTTCTGCATATGGCTAGCCAGTTCTCCCAGCACCATTTATTAAATAGCAAATCCTTTCCCCATTGCTTTTGTCAGGTTTGTTGAAGATCACATGGCTGTAGATGTGCAGTCTTAGTTTTGACTTCTATATTCTGTTCCACTGGTCTATGTGTCTGTTTTTGTACTACTACCATCTATTTTGGTTACTATAGCCTTGTAGTTGAGTTTGAAGTCAGATATGTGATGCCTTCAGCTTTGTTCTTTTTGCTTAGGATTGTCTTCATTATATAGGCTCTTTTTTGGTTCCATATGAACTTTAAAGTAGTTTTTTTCTAATTCTGTGAAAAATGTCAAGGGTAGTTTAATGGGAACAGCATTGAATCTATAAATTACTCTGGGCAGTATGGCCATTTTCATGATATTGATTCTTCCCATCCATGAGCGTGGAATGTTTTTCCATTTGTTTGTGTGCTCTCTGATTTCCTTGAGCAGCAGTTTGTAGTTCTCCTTGAAGAGGTCCTTCACTTCCCTTGTTAGCTGTATTCCTAGGTATTTTTTCTCTTTTTAGCAACTGTGAAAGGGAATTCATTCATGATTTGGCTTCCTGCTTGTCTACTGCTGGTGTATAGGAATGCTTGTGATTTTTGCACATTGATTTTGTACTTTGCTGAAGGTGCTTATCAGCTTAAGAAGCTTTGGGGCTGAGATGATGGGGTTTTCAGATATAGGAGTATGTCATCTGCAAACAGATGGCTTGACTTCCTCTCTTCCTATCTGAATATGCTTTATTTCTTTCTCTTGCCTGATTGCCCTGGCCAGAATTTCCAATTCTATGTTGAATAGGAGTGGTGAGAGAAGGCATCCTTGTCTTGTGCTGATTTTCAAGGGGAATGCTTTGAGCTTTTTCCCATTCAGTATGATATTGGCTGTGGGTTTGTCATAAATTGCTCTTATATTTTGAGGTATGTTCCAACAATACCTAGTTTATTGAAAGTTTTTAACATGAAGGGAAGTTGAATTTTATCAAAGGCCTTTTCTGTGTCTATTGAGATAATCATGCGGTTTTTGTGTTTAGTTCTGTTTATGTGATAAATCTCGTTTATTGATTTGCATATGTTGAACCAGCCTTGTATCTTGGGGATGAAGCTGTCTTGATCATGTGGATAAGCTTTTTGATGTGCTGCTGGATTCGGTTTGTCAGTATTTTATTGAGAATTTTTGCATCAATGATCATCAGGGATATTGGCCTGAAGTTTTCTTTTTTTGTTGTATCTCTGCCAGGTTTTGATATCAGGATGATGCTGGCCTCATAAAATGAGTCAGAGAGGAGTCCCTCCTTTTCAGTTGTTTAGAATAGTTTCAGAAGAAATGGTACCAGCTCCTCTTTGTACCTCTCGTAGAATTCGGCTGTGAATCCATCTGGTCCTGGGCTTTTTTTGGTTGGTAGGCTATTAATTACTGCCTCAATTTCAGAACTTGTTATTGTCTATTCAGAGATTCAACTTCTTCCTGGTTCTGTCTTGCGAGGGTGTGTGTGTCTAGGAATTTATCCATTTCTTCTAGATTTTCTAGTTTATTTGCATAGAGGTGTTTATAGTATTCTCTGATGGTTGTTCATATTTCTGTGGGGTCAGTGGTGATATCCCCTTTATCATTTTTTATTGTGTCTATTTGATTCTTCTCTCTTTCCTTATTAGTCTAGCTAGTAGTCTATTTTATTAATTTTTTTTTCCAAAAAAAAAAAAAACAAACCAGCTCCTAGATTCATTGATTTTTTTTAAGGTTTTTCGTGTCTCTATCTCCTTCAGTTCTGCTCTGATCTTGGTTATTTCTTGTCTTCTGCTAGCTTTGGCCTTTTTTTTTTCTTTTTTGCTCTTGGTTCTCTAGTTCTTTTAATTTTGATATTAGGACGTCAATTTGAGATCTTTTAACTTTCTGATGTGGGCATTTAGTGCTATAACTTGCCCTCTTAACGCTGCTTTGGCTGCGTCCCAGAGGTTCTGGCATGATGTCTCTTTATTCTCATTGGTTTCAAAGAACTTCTTGATTTCTGCCTTGATTTCGTTATTTATCCAGGAGTCATTCAGGGGCAGGTTGCTTAATTTCCATGTAGTTGTGTGGTTTTGAGTGAGTTTCTTAACCTTGAGTTCTAATTTTATTGCACTGTGGTCTGAGAGACTGTTTCTTCTGATTTCAGTTGTTTGGCATTTGTTAGGAGTGTTTTACTTCCAATTATGCAATCTTTTTAGGAGTAAGTGCCATATGGCACAAAGAAGAATATATATTCTGTTGTTTTTGGGTGGAGAGTTCTGTAGATATCTGTCAGGTCCACTTGATCCAGAGTTGAGTTTGGGTCCTGAATATCTTTGTTAATTTTTTGTCTCAGTGATCTAATATTGACAGTGCAGTATTAAAGCCTCCCACTATTATTGTGTGGGAGTCTAAGTCTCTTTGTAGGTCTCTAAGAACTTGTTTTATGAATCTAGGTCCTCCTGTATATTTAGGATAGTTAGCACTTCTTGTTGAATTGAGCCCTTTACCGTTATGTAATGCCCTTGTCTTTTTTGATCTTTTTTTTTTTTTGGTTTAATGTCTGTTTTGTAAGACTTTAACACTAGGATTGCAACCCCTGGTTTTCTCTGCTATTTGCTTGGTAAAATTTCCTCCATCTCTTTATTTTGAGCCTATGTGTGTCTTTGCACATGAGATGGGTCTCTTTAATACAGCACATTGATGGGTCTTGACTCTTTATCCAGCTTGCCATTCTGTGTCTTTCAACTGGAGGCATTTAGCTCATTTACATTTAAGGTTAATATATTTGTGAATTTGATCCTGTCATCATGATGCTAGCTGGTTATTTTGCAGACTTGTTGATGTAGTTGCTTCGAAGCGTCATTGGTCTGTGTACTTTAGTGTGTGTTTGTAGTGGCAGGTATTGGTTTTTTCTTTCCATATTTAGTGCTTCTCTCAGGAGCTCCTGCAAGGCAGGCCTGGTGGTGACAAATTCCCTCAGTATTTGTTTTTCTGAAAAGGATTTTATTTTTCCTTCACTTTACGAAGTTTAGTTTGGCTGGTTATGAAATTCTGGGTTGGAAATTCTTTCTTTTAAGGATACTGAATATTGGCCCCCAATCTCTTCTGGCTTGTAGGGTTTCTGCTGAGAGGTCCACTGTTAGTCTGATGGGCTTCCCTTTATAGGTAACCTGGCCTTTTTCTCTGGCTGCCCTTAATACTTTCCCTTCATTTTTACTTTGGAGAATCTGATGATTATGTGTCTTGGGGATGACCTTTCTTCTCATGGAGTATCTTACTGTGGTTCTCTGGATTTCCTGAATTTGAATGTTGGCCTATCTTGCTAGGTTGGGGAAGTTCTGGATGATATCCTGATGTACGTTTTCCAACTTGGTTCCATTCTCCCATCTCTTTCAGGTACCCCAATCAGTTGTAGGTTTGGTCTTTTTACATAATCCCATAGTTCTCAGAGGTTTTGTTCATTCCTTTTCATTCTTTTTTCTCTAATCTTGTCTGCCTGTCTTATTTCAGCAAGATAGTCTTCAAGCTCCGAAATTCCTTCCTTCCCTTGGTCTATCCAGCTATTGATACTTGTGGTTGTATTATGAAGTTCTTGTGTTGTGTTTTTCAGCTCCATCAGGTTATTTATTTTCCTCTCTAAACTGGCAGACTGGAGCTGCAGTGATGGCAGCCGTCTCTCCCCGCAGGAGCTCAGTTGTCTTGGCAGCAGGCAGTTGCAGTGATGGCAGCCACTCCTCCCACTGGGAGCTCAGTCATCTCTGGCAGCAGGCAGCTGCAGTGATGGCAGCCGCCCCCTCCCCTAGGAACTTGGTTGTCTTAGGCAGTCTCCACCTGAGCGGCTGCCAAGAATCTGCACAGTTCTGTGCTTGGGAACCAAGGCCTGGGTGGTGTGGACTTATGAGGGGAATCTCCTGATCTGTGGGTTGCACAGATCCATGGAAAAAGCATGGTTCCCCAGGCGGGGTAGCACAATCACTCACTACCTCCCTTGGCTGGGAGTGGGAGTTCCCCTTCCCCTGTGTGGATCCTGGGTTGGCTGTCACTCCACTCTGCTTTTCCTCACTTACCATGGGTTGCACCAACTGCCTGGTCAGTCCTAGTGAGAGAACCTGGATACCTCAAGTTGCTGGCATAGGATTTACTCGCTGTTTTCATTCTTCTACGTGGGAGCCTCCAACCGTAGCTGTTTTTAGTTGGTCATCTTGGCCCCTCCTTGTTTTTTTTTCTTGTTGTTTGGAAATTGCAGTATGGTTATCTACTGGCAGGAATAATCTCTTCCATCACTAAAGTAATGTTATACCTTGTTTATATTTGTCTTCTGGTATCTATCACTCTCCATCTTATGCTATAGATATTTAAATATTTGCCTTACCTCTGCTAGTAGATGGTAAACTCATTGAAGACAGAGCCTATGTCTTATTAATCTTTGTATTCTCTGTCACTTTTAGAATAGTGCCTTCCTTACACTTATAGTAGATACTCAGTAAATACTTGGGGTATTTAATGAATGGCAAATCTTTCAAACAAAGTCCAAAATTGGGAAGCAAAAAGTAAAGCAGTGCTTTCTGCTGTCATTTTACTTCTCTAAGCCACTGAATATTTATAAAGTCTTTGTCATAAAGTGATTACCTCACCGGAAAAATAATTTGTACTTTTTTATAGACCTATAGTATAAACATTTTATTTAAAATTTATTTTTAATTGGCAAAAATTTTATATATGCATGGTGTATACCATGATGTTTTGAGATATGCATACATTGTGGAATAACTTAATTGAAGAAATTAACATACTGTGGTGCTATTGGATTGATACCGGTCCTTGGTTAAACTATTTGCATGTTAACACAAGGACCTTTGGATATATAACAAATTAACTAAAAGCAATGTCTCAAAGGAGGAGTATTGTAATTCTCTGGCACATCAGCAGGTAGGGTTGTGTGTGCATGCATGTGTGTGCGTGCGTGTGTTTTCAATATCAATTAAGCACCTTTTTATGTGCCACGAGGCTTCTTCCCACTCAAGACTCACCCCAAATTATACAGTAATTAGCTACTTCGCCAATAAAAAAACCTACTTCAGCCGGGCGCGGTGGCTCACGCCTGTAATCCCAGCACTTTGGGAGGCTGAGGTGGGCGGATCACGAGGTCAAATGATCAAGACCATCCTGGCCAACATGGTGAAACCCCGTCTCTACTAAAAATACAAAAATTAGCTGGTCGTGGTGGCGCATGCCTGTAGTCCCAGCTACTCGGGAGGCTGAGGCAGAAGAATTGCTTGAACCCAGGAGGCGGAGGTTGCAGTGAGCTGAGATCACGCCCCTGCACTCCAGCCTGGCAACAGAGCGAGACTCTGTCTCAAAAAAAAAAAAAAGTTGTCACAGACTTCTCTTATTTTGTAAATTACAAACCCAAAGCACCTCTTACTGTCTTGGGCCATTAGAAAACATCCTGGCTAACACGGTGAAACCCCGTCTCTACTAAAAATACAAAAAAATTAGCCGGGTGTGGTGGCGGGCGCCTGTAGTCCCAGCTACTCCGGAGGCTGAGGCAGGAGAAAGGCGTGAACCCGGGAGGCGGAGCTTGCAGTGAGCCGAGATGGTGCCACTGCACTCCAGCCTGGGCGACACGGTGAGACTCTCTCTCAAAACAACAACAACAACAACAACAACAACAACAAACTTAATCAGCAGGAAAAAGGACCAAAAAATGTTGATTGTTTCTCTTGTTGATTGTGACTGTAGAACAGAAGTTTGTTAGAAGAGAAAAAAAAATTGAGAAAAAAGTATGCACTTTTTCCTCTTGAAGGCCCCAGTGAGTTATCACCTAGCAGCCGGTAGCCCATAAAACCCCTTTAGGCAGAAACAGGAAAGGAAGGAATGAAACATTTTAAAAAAGGTAAGGTTATAATGAAAAATAAGTTTTACTTTTGGATAGAAAAAATAGTTTCCTATGAAGCAAAACTATTTCATGGCCACAAATATATTCTGATAGCTACCTTACAAATGATTACTAATGGTCACAAAGAGAATCTGCGAGGGCATTAGCTTTATTAAACTCATATGTATTACAAAACATGTGAAAATACATGTCCCACTGAGAAGATCATAGCATTCAAGAGAATACTCACTTTAATTTACAATATTAAAATTACCTGGTGATATCACTGTTACTGTTAATTTGCAGGTAGACTAGCTTGTTTGGTAAAAATAAACTACAAGGTTCTTTAGGATATAGGATTTTTATTTGAGAGTTGGGGCAGAGGTAGGGGAGGGAGTCTAGACATCTTCCCCACTATAGCTGTCTGAACTGAGCTAAGGAGCTAAGAGTGACAGACTGAATTATTATAACATCTAAACTGACAGCATTCCCCTGCAATGGGTTTACTTTTCTTAAGTAGATTTGTAGGATTAAAGCTATTCTAAAGTGGGCACAAATTGATGCTACAGGTTTCTCTAATGAGCCTACAGTTCCATAAGTACAACTTAACTTGTCTCTTACATTTTCCAGTTTAGTCCAGAGATGAGGTTGACTATATTTTAGTTCAGAATTTTTGCAGAGGAAGTAATAAAAATGTTAGTGAGATTTCCTATCCTCCATGGTACAGTTATAATCACTGAAAAGACTATGTAAGAACTCAGCGCAAAATGAATAGGGGTTCACTCAGGATTGTCATCATCAAAGACATGGTTAAATACTAATGACACTATCTATGATGTAGAAAGCCTCCAAAGGGTCACAGAAAGTACAAATGGATTCCTTTCTACTGAGCAGAGTAACAATATGGATCTTTGTTATCTATCAGTAACCTTTTTTTGTGGTGTGGTCATCTTGAAATGGAGCTATTTATACCAATGAAATTATTTTTCTCAGTTAAAATGCATCCTCTTAAACCAGTCAGTTCTTAATATACAATGTTTCATCTTGGTTTTGAGACAGGGTCTGGCTTTGTTGCTCAGGCTGGAGTGCAGTTGCGTGATCACGGCTCACTGCAACTTTGACCTGCTGGCTCAAATGATCCTCCTGTCTCACCCCATCGAGTAGCTGGCACCACAGGTGCACACCACCATACCTGGCTAATTTTCTGATGTTTTGCACAGATGGGGTCTCCCTATGTTGCTCAGACTGGTTTCAAACCCCTGGCCTCCCAAAGTGTTAGGATTACAGGTGTGAGCCACCATGACCGGCCTTCCCTGAAAATCCATTTTTAAAATGAAAAGGAAATGGGTCGGGTGCAATGGCTCATGTCTGTAATCCTAACACTTTGGGAGGCTGACACAGGTGGACTGCCTGAACTCAGGAGTTTGAGACCACTCTGGGTAACATGGTGAAACCCCATTACTGTTAAAATACAAAAAATTAGTCATGCATGGTGTCAGGAGCCTGTAGTCCCAGCTACTCAGAAGGCTGAGGCACGAGAATTCCTTGAATCCGGGAGGCAGAGGTTGCAGTGAGCCGAGATTGCACCACTGCACTCCAGCCTGGGCAACAGAGTGAGACTCTGTCTCAAAAAAAAAAAAAAAAACAAACACACACACACACACACACACACACACAAACACACACACACACAAAATAAATGAAGAAAAGATGCCTTTGATCATAGGAGAGAACATAGCAGAAACAAGATGTTCTGATGTTCATGCAGGTCCTTCTTGATTAAATTCAGAACCTCAAGAAACTTCATTTTTCAAAACAAGCAGTAGAAAAGCTCCCTAAACTACATAAAGTGTAAATCATTATTCATTTTTTGGATATACTGCAAATATCAGGAGACTTGTTCTGTTCCTATTAATATTACTGCCTCTATTCCACATGGTATTTGCAGCTTCAATTCCTTGTATTTCTATTTCCTGGATCTTTCTGAAGAGCAAACCGCCTAAGATAAGGAATAGCTTTCCTAGGAAACTTAAAGAGCAAAGATAGGTAATAGTAATATGGTCAGCTTAAATAGTTAGGGTCCTTGGTAATTTAAAGAATGTGTGTTCAGATATACAAAGCATTTAGACTTTCATATAACTCTCTCCAATTAGGAGAAAGTGGTTCCAAAGCTCTAGGGAAACACTGGCAATGGTAGAGTTTGTAGGCTCAGGACTACAGGGCACTTTGTACATCTGAAAATAATTTTCATATTGTCTTCAATCTAATAGTTTTACAACTTTTCTACTTGCTTATTCAAGACAATGAGCCTCAAAGCATTTCTGACAAAACCAAAAAAGCATAGCTGAAAGAATTATTATTTACTAGGGCTGATTAAAAAATATGGAAGTTCTCCTGAGATTTCTGTACATAAAGATGATAAAATAGGCATTGCTGTCCCAAAATGTTAGCTTCATAATTTATATCAATAGTTGATTATCACTTACAGGATAAAATTTCAGTTCCTTAGAATAGTATATAAAACCCTTATTTGCTTTCCTTTCAGTCTCATCTCTCATTATTCCATCACTCAGAAAATTGATAATATTGTAGATATCAGAATACACTGTACTATTTCATAGTTTTCTGCCATAGCATATGATGCTGTTTCTGCCTAGAGTAATTTTTCTCTCATCCTTTTATTTTCCTGGGAAATTACAACTCTTCCTTCACAACTGTTTTCAGTAAGAAAGTGCTCAAATAATGATAGGAACATGTCAAAAGGATCTTGGAACAAGATTGAAGAGCTCCCTTTGGCTAAATCTGATACAAATTTATCATCAACATAAATTAGAACAGTAACATATTTTAATCTATTTAATAAAATAAAATAAGAATTTATGAATATATACTAAATATAAAAATGATTTAAATAAATTCTTCCTTTAAAAAAAAATCGAGATAGAATGTCTGGGTCACAGCTGAGTCAAGGGAGAAGCAAACCCAGATTTTAGGGTTGGGTCTCTATTAATATGTAATATCTATGAGGTATCCAAGTCCAGAAACCAACTTGCCAGTTCTGTACAGGATTCTGTATGTAGATCAAATCTGGGGTTTCTAAAGTTAAGAATTCAGGCCTTGAAAATGAATTAGATCTACCTGAACTTATTTTAAAAAGAAAGAGAGGAAAGGAGAGAGACAGAGAGAGAGACACACACACAGAGAGAGAAAGAGACAGATGCACAGAGAGAGAGACAGTGACAGAGAAAGAGAGACAGAGACAGAGAGATGGACAGAGAGAGAGAGACAGACAGAGAGAGAGAGACAGAGACAGAGAGAGACACTGAGACCAAGAGAGGGAGAGACAGAGAGAGAGAGACAGAGGCAGAGAGAGATGGACAGATGGAGAGAGACAGAGACACAGACAGAGACAGAGAGACAGACAGACACTGAGACAGAGGGGGAGACAGAGAGACAGAGAGAGACACACACAGAGAGACAAATACACAGAGAGAGACAGACAGAGAAAGACAAAGACAGACACACACAGAGAGACAGAGAAACAGAGACAGAGAGAGACAGAGACAGAGAGAGACAAAGACAGAAAGACAAGAGAGAGAGACACAGAGAGAGAGACAGAGAGGGAGACAGAGATAGAGAAAAAGAGACAGAGAGCGTCTTAGGCCTCAGGCTTAGGCCTCATAGCAAAAAGCTGAAACAACTTCTGGGATGTTTTTCAAAGAGCCAGTTGTTCCACAAGGGGCTGCGGGTAGTTGTGGAAATTGAGAGAAGTGTTTGGAGATACATATTTGAGACAGAACGGACAGGGCTTGGTCATGGGTCCTTTAGGACACGGGGAAATACAGATTGGGAAAATCCTCCCAGAATCCTAGGTGAACAGTGGTACAATTTATTGAGACGGTAAGTCTGGATCACAGGTGAGTCAAGGGAGAAGCAAACCCAGATTTTAGGGTTGGGTCTTTATTAATAGGTAATACCTATTAGGCATCCAAGTCCAGAAATCAACTCGTCAGTTTTGTACAGGATTCTGTATGGAGATGAAATCTGGGGTTTCTAAAGTTAAGAATTCAGGCCTTGGAAATGGATTAGATCTACCTGAGCTTATTTTAAAAAGAAAGAGAGGGAGGGAGAGCAAGAGAGACAGAGAGAGAGAGACAGAGACAGACAGAGACACACCAACAGAGAGACAGAGACGAGAGAGACAGAGAGAGACAGAGAGAAAGACAGAGAGAGAGACAGAGAGAGGGAGACAGGAGGAGGAGGAGGAGGAGGAAGGGGGTACTCAAGAAATAATTACACATATTTTATAATGCTTTTGATGCCATAAACGGTGGCTGGGGTATGCTTTTAAAACAACAACAACAACAAAAGCAGCAGCAGCACTCATGGAGTTCTGGAAAATAAGATGTTATAAAGTATAGTTTACATCAACCGGCTCTTGCTATACCTTGAGAGATTCAGAAAAGTGCTAGTCAACAACAGAAGAAAACACCAGCTAACATGTCCTGGGGAAAATATACATCTTCCTAAAAATTGGTGAATTCTACTTCACCTGGAAAGAAATAAGAAAAAGAAAAAATACCAACAAAACAAAACGAACAAACACGGGCTAAGGCATTGTTTCTGGGAATATTAAGTGAGCAAATTATTATTGTTTATTTTTTGTTTTTTTTTGAGACAGAGTCTTGTCTCTGTCACCCAGGCTGGAGTGCAGTGGTGCGATCTTGGCTTGCTGCAACCTCCACCTCCTGGGTTCAAGCAATTCTCCTGTCTTAGCCTCCCAAGTAGCTGGGATTACGGGTATGTGTCACCATGCCTGGCTAATTGTTGTATTTTTAGTAGAGACGGGGTTTCACCATGTTGGCCAGGCTGGTTTCAAACTCCTGACCTCAGGTAATCCACCCACCTCAGCCTCTGAAAGTGCTAGGATGATATGGGGGATATCACCACTAATTCCACAGAAACACAAACTACCATCAGATAATAGTATAAACACCTCCACACAAATAAACTAGAAAATCTAGAAGAAATGGATAAATTCCTGGACACATACACCCTCCCAAGTCTAAGCCAGGAAGAAGTTGAATCCCTGAATAAACCATTAACAAGTTCTGAAATTGAGGCAGTAATTAATAGCCTACCAACCAAAAAAAGTCCAGGACCAGATGGATTAATAGCTGAATTCTACCAGAGGCACAAAAAGTAGCTGGTACCATTCCTTCTGAAACTATTCTAAACAATAGAAAAAGAGGGAATCCCCCCAACTCATTTTATGAGGCCAGCATCATCCTGATACCAAAACCTGGCAGAGACACAACAAAGGAAAATTTCAAGCCAATATCCCTGATGAACATCGATGCAAAAATTCTCAATATAATACTGGCAAGCCGAATCCAGCAGCACATCAAAAATCTTATCCACCATGATCAAGTCGGCTTCATACCTGGATGCAAGGCTGGTTCAACATACGCAAATCAATAAATGTAATCCATCACATAAACCAAACCAATGACAAAAAACACGATTATCTTAATAGATGCAGAAAAGGCCTTTGACAAAATTCAACACTCCTTCCTGCTAAAAACTCTCAATAAACTAGGTATTGATGGAACACATCTCAAAATAACAAGAGCTATTTATGACAAGCCCACAGCCAATATCATATTGAATGGGCAAAAACTGGAAGCATTCCCTTTGAAAACCAGCACAAGACAAGGATGACCTCTCTTACCACTCCTATTCAACATAATATTGGACGTTCTGGCCAGGGCAATCAGGCAAGAGAAAGCGATAAAGGATATTCAAATAGGAAGAGAAGAAGTCAAATTGTCTCTGTTTGCAGATGACATGATTGTATATTTAGAAAACCCCACTGTCTCAGCCCAAAATCTCCTTAAGCTGATAAGCAACTTCAGCAAAGTCTCAGGATACAAAATAAATGTGCAAAAATCACAAGCATTCTATACCCTAATAACAGACAAACAGAGAGCCAAATCATGAGTGAACTCCCATTCACAACTGCTACAAAGAGAATAAAATACCTAGGAATACGACTTACAAGGGATGTGAAAGACCTCTTCAAGGAGAACTACAAACAACTGCTCAAGCAAATAAAAGAGGACACAAACATATGGAAAAAACATTCCTTGCTCATGGATAGGAAGAACCAATATCATGAAAATGGCCATACTGCCCAAAGTAATTTATAGATTCAATGCTATCCCCATCAAGCTACCATTGACTTTCTTCACAGAATTGGAAAAAACTACTTTAAACTTCATATGGAACCAAAAAAGAGCCCACATAGCCAATGACAATCCTGGGCAAGAAGAACAAAGCTGGAGACATCACGCTACCTGACTTCAAACTATATTACAAGGCTAGAGTAACCAAAACAGCATGATACTGGTACCAAAACAGATATACAGACCAATGGGACAGAATGAAGGCCTGAGAAATAACACCACACATCTACAACCATGTGATGTTTGACAAACCTGACACACACAAGTAATGGGGAAAATATTCTCTATTTAATAAATACTGTTGAGAAAACTGGTTAGCCCTATGCAAAAAACTGAAACTGGACACCTTCCTTACACCTTATACAAAAATCAACTCAAGATGGATCAAAGACTTAAACATAAGACCTAGGACCATAAAAATCCTAGAAGAAAACCTGGGCAATACCATTCAGGACATAGACATGGGCAAAGACTTCATGTCTAAAACACCAAAAGAAATGGCAACAAAAGCCAAAATTGACAAATGGGATCTAATTAAACTAAAGAGCTTCTGCACAGCAAAAGAAACTAAAAAATTTAGAAACTAAAAAGAGTGAACAGGCAACCTACAGAATGGGAGAAAATTTTTGCAATCTACTCATCTGACAAAGGGCTAATATCCAGAATCCACAAAGAACTCAAACAAATTTACAAGAAAAAAAAAAACCCATCAAAAAATGGGCAAAGTACATGAACAGACACTTCTCAAAAGAAGACATTTATGCAGCCAACAGGCATATGAAAATATGCTCATCACCACTGGTCATTAGAGAAATGCAAATCAAAACAACAATGAGATACCATCTCATACCAGTTAGGTTGGAGATCATTAAAACGTCAGGAAACAACAGATGCTGGAGAGGTTGTGGAAGAATAGGAACACATTTACACTGTTAGTGGGAGTGTAAATTAGTTCAACCATTGTGGAAGACAGTGTGGCGATTCATCAAAGATCTAGAATTAGAAATACCATTTGACCCAGCAATCCCATTACTGGGCATATATCCAAAGGATTATAAATCATTCTATGGTAAAGACACATGCACACATATGTTTATTGTGGCACTATTCACAATAGCAAAGACTTGGAACCAACCCAGATGTCCATCAATGATACACTGGATTAAGAAAATGTGGCACATATACACCATGGAATACTATACAGCCATAAAAATGGATGAGTTCATGTCCTTTGCAGAGACATGGATGAAGATGGAGACCATCATTCTCAGCAAACTATCACAATATCAGAAAACCAAACAGTACATGTTCTCACTCCTAAGTGGGAGTTGAACAATGAGAACACATGGACACAGGAAGGGGAACATCACACACCAGGGCCTGTTGGGGGGTGGGGGGTTAGGGGAGGGATAACATTAGGAGAAATACCTAATGTAGGTGATGGGTTAATGGGTGCAGCAAACCACCATGGCACGTGTATACCTATGTAAAAAAAGTGCACCTTCTACACATGTACCCCAGAACTTAAAGTATAATAAAAAAAATAAAAAAAAAGAAAGTGTTTGTATTTTGGGCAAATACCAATAAGGCCCAAAGTAGAGCTATGATGCCTTTCTCATTTTGAAAATATGCTGGCCTGAGAATAAATTCTTCCTTATAACAGAAGGTCAGCTGTTACATGAAGAAATATTGGAATTAGAAAATCACCACTTGGCAACCATCTAGTAATAATTGGTTTAGGGAAAAATAATCAGTTAATGCTAAGACTAGAAGGTAAAAGCCTCAAGAAAAACAAAACATATTTGTCTGGTCTCAAAGTATATCCCTACAAGATATTTATTAACTGTACTCATTAACTACAGTGGAGAAATCTCGCAGACACCCTTTTAGCCAAGTGATCAAAGTTAATATCACCAGTAATAGGATAAACTGACATCATGAGCCCCCTGATAAGATGCACTGAGAAAGATACAACATCACATTTGAGATATTCCTGACCAAATGTATAACAAGAATTAAACCATTAAGAAACCTGAGAAAAATATAAATTTGAGGGACATTGTACAAAATAACTGAGCTATATGCTTCAAAAATATAAAGGTAATGAAAGACAAAGACAAACTTGAAGACTTGTTCCATATTAAAGGAGTCTACAGAGACAGGATAACTAAATGTAACGCATGATTCTGGATTGAATCCCAGATCAGAAGAATGTTGTCTCCTTTGTTATAAAGAACATTATTAGAAAAACTGACAAAATGTAATTTGAATAAGATTACATAATAGTATTGTGGCAATGTTCATTTCCTAATTTTCATAATTGTACTGTGGTTATGTAAGAGAAAGTCTTTTTTATTTGCCATCCCTCCAGATTTTTTTGGAAGGAAATACACATTAAATTATTTAGGGGTAAAGAGGCATCATGTCTGCAATTTACTCACAAGTAGTTTGGGATAATATGTATATTAATTTATAGAGAGAAATGATAAAGGAAATGTGACAAAATGTTAACATTTGGGGGAGTCTGGATGAAAGATATACAGGAATTCTCTATACTATTCTTGTAACATTTCTGAAGTTTGAAATTATTTCAAAATTTCAAAAATCACTTTCATCAATAGTCTCTCCTTTCTGAAACAATGCACGTATGTCTATTTTTGCACTGAGGTACTATAAAATACTCAATTTTTAGGACTTCTAATTGCATATTATATTAACCACATATCTCACAGTAATTATACTTATTTATATACATGTCCATTTTCTTAACTAGATTATCACCTCTTTGAGGAAGAAAAAAAGGCCTTAACATCAAGGTCCAAAGATGTTATGCACACAGTACAGTCTAGATTATATAGACTGACAAAGTAGAACGGTTGTATAGATAAGCAAACACTACTTACAACTTCAAACTTTATTCTGGTCAATATAGGGCACTTTGTTAAACACAGTGAGTGAGGTTTTGTTTTGTTTTGAGACAGGGTCTTGCTCTGTTGCCCAGGCTGGAATGCAGTGGCTTGATCTCAGCTCACTGTAACCTCCACCTCCTGGGCTCAAGGAATCCTCCCACCTCAGCCTCCTGAGTAGCTGAGACTACAGCATGTGCCACCACATCCAACTAATTTTTTAATTTTTGATAGAGATGAGATCTCACTATATTGCCCAGACTGGTCTTGAACTCCTGGGCTCAAGTGATCCTCCTGCCTTGGCCTCCCAAAGTGCTGGGATTACAGGCACAAGCCACTGCACCTGGCCTGGGAGTATGTTGAAATAAACCAGATGAGATTCCTATCTTACACAGTCTTTCAAGGAACACACAAATCAGGCTGTGTTTTAAGGAAAAAATAACAGACTATGTGTATGCTTATGTTTTAAAGTACAAACAAAACACTATGTAAGATAACAAAGAAAAAGCAACAGCTAATTCTGATGGGACAAACTATAAGGCTTTACAGGGGGGATCTTTAAACAATGAGAAAAGGGAGAAGAACATATGAAACTGGAGAAAATATGAACAAAATTACAAAGATCTGAAAGTACTTTTAGAGAATGCGAAATTGCCCAATGAAGCTGGAGGTTGGAGGTGAAGAGGATGAAATATAAGGTATAAGGCTGGTCAATTCAGTTCAGGACAAATTCTGGAGGCTTAGTACTATGGAAAATGGAGAACTATTCAAGATTTTCAGTAGAAAAGTAGTATGTACTTTAAAATGTAATACTTGACTGATGGAAGACTGTCAGGGAGCAAGAGACTGAAGATAGGAAGAGCAATTATTATGCTACTGCAATCCCAAAGGAGAATGATGCAGAAGGCCTGAACTATTACAACAAGAATGGGAAAAAGGATATTTAGAAGAGCTGCAGCAGAGGGTTCCATGACTGACTGACTATGCTTTGAGAAGGAGATGGTAATATCATGAGGAGATTTCAAATTTAGTTATTAGAGTAAGTGGGAGTGTAATTGTATAAAAGAACAATACAGGAATAATTTGGAGGAAAGGATCCTAAATCTGGTTTCTGATGAAAGAAATGTGAGATGCCAGCAGGACATCAAAGGGTGATTCCAGTACACAACAGCAAGGAGAATCTGGAGCTTGGAAGAGAAGTCAGGCTTAAAATAGAAAGCCATTGGTATGTAGGTGGTGAATCTAATAATGAGAATCAGTAATTCACTTGTTACACATAGAATGGTAACATATACACATCACAAAAAAGAGACACTGAAGGACAATATATGTCCATTCCAGGATAATTCTATGATCAATGATTAACTTAACTTTTTAATACATTTTCCAGATGCTTAATCTATATACATTTTGTAACCCTCTTAAACAATTTTTAAGTATTTATGTTAAAAAATTTAACAGAATTAACAATATATGCATATTATTGTACAACTGATTGCTAGAACTTTCTCATTTTGTGTGAATGAAGCTTTACATCCATTGGCTAATTCCCTATTTCCCTCTCCTCCCAGCCCCTGGCAACCACCATTCTACTTTCTATGAGTTCAATTACTTTAGATGTCTCATATAAGTAGAACCATGAAGTATTAGTTTTTGGTGATTAGTTTATTTCACTTAGCATTATGTCCTGAAGGTTCATCCATGTTGTAGCATATGACAGGATTTCCTTATTTTTTGGAGGCTCAATAATATTTCATTGTATAAATAGACCATATTTTGCCTATCCCCTCATCTGTTAATGAACATTAAGATTACTTTCATATCTTGGCTATTGTAGATAATGCTGTGATGAACACAGGTGTGTAAGTAGTTTTTTGAGATGCTATTTTCAATTCTTTTGGATATATACCCAGAAGTGAGACTGACAGATCATATGAAAGTTCTATTTTTAATTTTTTGAAGAAACGCCATACTATTTTCTGTAGCAGCTGCAACATTTCACAAACCTACCAACAGGGCACAAGGGTTCCAATTTCTCCCTATGATCACCAATACTTGTTATTTTCTATTTTTTTTTTTTTTTAGTAGTCATCCTAATGGTGTTAGGTGGTATCTCACTGTGATTTAAATTTGTATTTCCCTGATGATTAGTGACATTGAGCAGCTTTTCATATGTGTGTTGGCCATTTGTATATCTTCTTTGAGTTATGTCTATTCAAGTCCTTTCCCCATTTTTAAATTGGGATATTTGATTTTTTTTGTTGCTGAGTTGTAGGGGTTCTTTATATATTCTGGATATTAACCCCTTATCAGATATATGATTTGCAATTATTTTTTCCCATTCTGTTGTTGCCATTTTACTCTGCTGATTGTTTCCTTTGATGCAGAAAATATTTAAATTTGAGGTAGTCTCATTTGTCTACATTTGTATAAGTTGTCTGTGCTTTTTGGTATCATATCCAAGAGATCGTTTCCCATTTCAATGTCATAAAGTTTTTCTGCATATTTCCTTCTGTGAGTTTCATAGTTTCAGGTCTTACCTATTAGACTTAACTATTAGATCTTTAATCCATTTTGAGGTAATTTTTGTGCATGGTATAAGATAAGGGTCTGTCTTCGTTCTTTTGCAAAGAGAATAGCTGTTTTCCCAACAACGTTTATTGAAGAGACTGCCCTTTCCCCATTGAATGGTCTTGGCACCATCTTCAAAGATCATTTGACCATATACACGAACATGTATTTCTGGGCTCTATATTCTGTTACATTAGTTTATATGTCTGTCTTTATGCCAGTTCCAGACTTTTTTGATTACTGTAACTTTGTAATATGTTTTGAAATCAAGAGATGTAAGACTTCCAGCTTTGTTCTTCTTTTTCAAGATTATTTTGGTTGTCCCAGGACCTCTGAAATTCTATATGAATTTTAGGGTGGTACTTTCTATTTCTATAAAAAATGTCAGTGGTATTTTGATAGGGATTGCCTTGAATTTGTAGATTCCTTTGGGTAGTATGGATATTTTAACAATATTGTGTCTTTCCATCCATGAATCCAGGTATCTTTCCATTTACTGTGTCTTTAACTTTATTCAGCAATGATTTGTGGTTTTCACTGCACAAGTCTTTCATTTTCTCCATTAAGTTTATTCCTAAGTATTTTATTCTTTCTGATGCTATTGTAAATGGGATTTTCTTAATTTCTTTTTCAGATTGTTAATCATTCACTGTTAGTGTATAAAAATGCAATTGATTTTTTATTGTTGACTTTGTACCCCTGCAATTTTACTGGCTTCTTGTATTAGCTTTAACAGTTAGTGTTTCTCTGTGTGTGTGTGTGTGTGTGTGTGTGTGTGTGTGTGTGTGCATGTATGTATATAAGTGGAATTTTCAGAGTTTTCTACATAAGATCATGTCATCTGGAAACAGAGATAATTTTACTTCTTTCTTTCCATTTGGGATGCATTTTCTTTCTTTTCATTGCCTAGCTGCTTTGATTAGAACTTCCAGTATTATACTAAAAAGAAGTGGCAAAAATGAGCATCTTTGCTTTGTTCTTGATCTTAAAAAAAAAAAGCTTCCAGTTTTTCACCATTTAGTATGTTATGTTATGAGCTTTTCATAAATGACCTTTATTATATTGAGGTAATTTCCTTCTGTTTCTAGTTTGCTGATTGTTATATCACGAAAGGTTGCTGAATTTTCTAAAATGCATTTTCTGCACCTTTTGAGATGATCATGTGATTTTCATTCCATGTTCTGTTAATGTGATACATTACATTTATTGATTTTCATGCATTGAATGATCCTTGCATTCCAGGGATAAATCCCACATGGCTGAAGTGTATAATCCAATTTGGTTTCCTAGTATTTTGTTGAGGATTTTTGCATCAATTTTTTTTATCAGTTATCTTTTTTATTGTTGTATTTTTTCTATTCGTATCAGGGTAATGTTGCCTAATAAATTTATTTTGGAAGTATTCCTTCTTCTTCAAGTGTTTGGAATATTTTGAGAAGAACTGGTACCAATTCTTCTTTAAATGCTTGGTAGAATTCTCTAGTGAAGCCATCTGGTCATGGGTTTTACTTTATTGGGAGGTTTTCTTTATGGGGAGGTTTTTGATTACTGATTCAATATCCTTAATGGTTATAGATATGTTTAGATTTTCTATTTCTCCATAATTCAGTCACCAAGACTGTGACTGAACACCAAGGTTGTGTTTCTAGGAATTTATCCACTTCTTCTAGGTGATTCAATTTGTTGGCATATAATTGTATATAGCAGTCTCTTATCATCTCTATTTCCGAAGCATCAGTTGCAATGTCTCCTTTTATTTCTGATTTTAGTTATTTTGAGTCTTCTGTCTGTCTAGCTAAGAGTTTGTCAATTTTGTTGGTATTTTAGAGAATCCTACTCTTAGTTTCATTGCTTTTTTTCCTAGTATTTTTATTCTCTATTTTGTTTATTTCTGCTCTGATCTTTATTATTTCCTTCTTTCTCCTAACTTTTGATTTAGTTTATTCTATTTCTCATTCCTTGAGGTAAAAAGTTAGGTTGCTGATTTGAGGTCTTTCCCCCTCATTAAAGTACATGCCACTAATATAAACTTCTCTCTTAGTATTGCTTTTGCTGCAATTCATAAGTTTTGGTGTGTTGTGTTTTTGCCTCAAGATATTTCTAATTTCTCTCATTTTTTTTTCCTTTGACCTACTGGTTGTTCAAGAGTGTCTCATTTAATTTTCACATATTTGTGTATCTTCCAGTTTTCCTACTGCTATTGATGTCTAGTTTCAGTCCACTAAGATCTCATAGGTTTCAGTCTTCCTAACTTTGTTAAGACTTGTTTTTTAGCCTAATATGTGGTCTATCCTACAGAATATTCCATGTATGCTAGGAAAGAATGTGTATTTTACTATTGTTGGGTGGAATATTCTGTTAGATCTAATTGGTCAACAGTGTTCAAGTTCTCTGTTTCCTTATTAATCTTTTTGGTTGTTCTATCCATTATCCAAAGTAGAATATTGAAATCTCCTACCATTATTGTGTTATTGTCTATTCTCCCTTCACGCCTGTCAATGTTTACTTCTTATATTTGGGTGCTCTAATGTTAGCTGGATTTTAATTTATAATTGTTATATATTTCTGTTCTTTCAGTATAATATTCTTCTTTGTCTCTTGTGACAGCTTTTAACCTAAAGTCTATATTTTGTCTGATATAACTATGGCCACCACTGCTCTCTTTTGATTATAATTTGCATGAAGTAATATCTTTTTCTGTCCTTTCATTTTCAGCCTATATGTGTCTTTACATCTAGCATGAGTCTCTTGTAGACAGAATATAATTGCATCTTGTTTCTTTAATCCATTAATTCACTTTGTCTTTTTACTGGGGAGTTTAATCCAATTACACTTAAAGGCCTTATTATTGGCACATGTTGTTTTCTGTCCGTCTTGTAGCTATTTAGTCCCTCTTTTTCCCTCTTGCTGTCTTCCTTTGCATTATCGATATGCTTTGATTACTTTCTCATTTTCTTTTCTGTATCTTCTATAAGCATTTTCTTTGTAATTACCATGAGACTTACATGAAACAGAACAATCTATCAATCATATATAAAAGTCTACTCATTTACATTTTCCATCCCCACAGTGTTACATGTGATTTACATGCCACCATTATAGTAATATAGTATTCTGAATTTGTATATATATATATTTTCCTTTACCAGTGAGCTTTGTGTTTTTCATAAACTTTCATGTTGTTGTCTAGAGTCCTTTCATGTCAACTTGCAGGACTCTCTTTAGCATTTCTTGTAAGCCAGGTCTAGTTGTGATGAACTCCCTTAGGTTTTGTTTGCCCGGGAAAGTCTTTCTTTTTTCATTTTTGAAAGGACAGTTTTGCTGGATGCAGTATTCCTCACTGGCAGATTTTGTTCCTTCAGCACTTTGAATATAACGTACTGCTCCCTTCTGACCTGTAAGGTTTATCCAATGACATTCTTATGGGAACTTCATTGTACATGATGAGTTACTTTTCTCTTGCTCCTTTCAAATTTTCTCTTTGCCCTTGATTTTTGACAGTTTCATTATAACATGTCTTAGTGTGGGCCTCTTTGGATTCACCTTAGTTATATCCTTTGAACTTCAAGTGTCTGGATGTACATTTCTTTCATCAAATTTGGGAAGTTTTTGACCATTATTTCTTCAAATAAGTTTGGTGTCCCTTTTCTCCTGGAACTCTCATAATGTATACACTGGTCCACAAAATGGCATTTTATAAATCTTTTTGGCATTCTTTTTTTTTTTGAGTCAGGGTCTCACTCTGTTGCCTAGGGTGGAGTGCAGTGGTGTAATCTTGGCTCACTGAAACTTCCACCTCCTGGGTTCAAGCGATTCTTTTGCCTCAGCCTCCTGAGTAGCTGGGATTACAGGTGTGCACCACCAGGCCTGGCTACTTTTTTTATTTTTAGTAGAGATGGGGTTTCACCATGTTGGCCAGGCTAGTCTCGAATCCCTGGACTCAAGTGATCCGCCTGCCTTGGCCTCCCAAAGTGTTGGGATTACAGGTGTGAACCACCACTCCTGGCCTCTTTGGCTTTCTTTGCTTTACTTTTCTGTTCCTTTTTTTTCTTTTTGCTCCTCTAACAATAATTTCAAATGACCTGTCTTCCAATTTTGCTGTTGATCTCTTCTGATTGGTCAAGTAATTGTTGAACCCCTCTAGTGAGTTTTTCAATTCAGTTATTGTATCCTTTGGCTCCAGAATTTCTCTTTGGTTCTTTTTTAATAGTTTCTAACTTTGTGTTGAAATCTTCATTTTGTCCATTCATTGGTTTCCTGATTTTGTTTAGTTGTCCATTTGTGTTCTCTCTTAGATCAGTGACCTTTTTAAAGGTAATTATTTTGAATTATTTGCCAGGTAATCATAAATCTCTGTTTCTTTGAGGTTGGTTTCTAGATAATTACTTTGATCTTTTGATTGGGCATGTATCCTGATTTCTTGGTGTGCTTTGTGATTTTTTGCTGAGTTTTAGTCATTTGAGAAACAGCCATGTCTCCCAATCTTTACAGACTGGCCTTATATAGGGGACACTCTCACCAATCAACCTGGCTAGAAATTCTGAGGCGGCCTCTGAAACCTTTTTGAAAGCGGGGGAATGTGACTTCTCTGGGTCTGTGTATGTAATTTCCCAATTAGAGAGGTTTGCAGGTTTCTCTGTCAGGAGCTTGCAATCTCTTGCTCTCAATGGTGTCTGTCTGCAGCACTGGAGGCTCTGTGGTGCTGCTGTAGCAAGCCATCACTGTTCCTTATTCTCAGTGGCCCGCAGACATCCAAAGTACACCAGCTCTCTGTTACCACCCCAGTGAGGCAACAGAGAAACCATTCTCTTGGTAGCCCTCCAAAAAGTCAGAACACCTAATGCATGTTCCACTCTTCTCTCTCCCTCCTGAGTGAAAAGTCAAGAATTGGGCACTTTCTCCAGATTGCACTGAGAGGTGCTGGTGCCTGTGTGTGGCACTGTAGGCCCTGTGGTACTACAGCAAGCTGCCTCCACTCTCCCTGGCTTTCAGTAGCCCTCAGGCATTCAAACTGTGGTAGTTCCATCAATGCAGTGAGATAGAAGGCAGTTATTTGGGCAGTCCTCTGAAAAGCTAGAATATTGGATGTATGTTTCCACTCTTCCCCCACAGAAAGAAACCATGAGTAGGGTGTTTTCTCTTTATCATGCTAAGCTATGCTGACTTGGAGGAGGGACTATCACAGGTAAAGTAAAACAGTTCTTATCCATTTCAATGTGGCTATTCTTGGCTTTGTGCCAGCTTGGGGGTATTGCAACAACCTTTTTTCTGGAGTTTTCATGAAGCTATTATGACCATATATTGCTTTTAAGTTGGTGTCTCTATGAGGATATGAGGGTTGGGGCTTCCTATCTATTAACTTAATGTTTCTTAGCAATACCTGCTATAATGTTGACAACGAGGAAGGTAAAAAGCCTGACTCAAAGTAATGAATGATGCAACTTTTCATATAAAATAAAAAGGTGATAACCGAGAAAAATAAGAGAAATAAGACAAAATTTAAATTGAATAGCGAATAGTACTTTGGGAATATAGGTTTCACAAATAAAAAAATTATATTTGAAAGCCAGGCATGATGGCTACTCAGGAGATTGAGGCAGGAGGATTGCTTGAGCCCAGGAGTTCAAATCCAGTCTGGGCAACATAGTGAGATACAATCTCTAAAATATTTTTTTCTTTTTAAATTTCGAGAACCTAGTAAATAAACTACATAAGGATATAGCAAGGAAAATTGAATAAGTTGGTTTACTTAGACTAGATAAAAAAGTCGAGAAAAATAGTGCTTATAAATAGTACCTCAATAAATATTTATGGAAGTCAATTGCTAATTATCCTTAGTTATATAAAGAAAGGTAATCTAAGTGATGGTAAGCAGCTATTGTCAGATCCAGTGAATGCCAATCAAGATGATAAGGGATTAGGTTGCAGCAAGAGATAAACAGAAATTTTTTTCTAAAAATAGGAGGCATAAGAAATTAACATACTTCTCCAAGGATTATTTCAAAATCCTCTTTCCTGGGAATAATAAAAAAGATAAAAATTCATGTTTCTTAATAGTAAGATGCAAGAAAACTAACCAGAAGACCTATCCATCTATGACAAATTAAGGGGTATAAGACTGAAAAGTCTGACTTACACTCCAGGCAAGAGGTAGTAATAAGTCGAGAACCTGGGTGGCAGTAGTGAGAATGAATGAAGGGATAAGGGCCAAAGTGGATACATGAGATAATTTGAAGAGAAGGAGCAGTTAAAACAAACAAACAAACAAACAAACAAACAAACAAACAAAACCCCCAGTATTTTCAATAAATATATTAGAGTTTTTGCTAATGTTCATTATTTTCCTTTTCTGTTCCCATACTGGTTTCTTATTTAGCAATTCTGCTGTCTTTTGCTTGCTCTGTCTGCTTAAGGTCTTCCTCTCATTTATTTATGCAGTCATCCAATCAACTCTTATTGAGAGAGAGTCATGGTGATAGATTCTGGTAATGGTATCAGGGAACAAGATAGATGAGGTCTTGCAAGATGCTTAGGGTGGAGTAGAGAGGACAGTGGAGAAGACAGAAAAGCACTACACTGTAAATACTCTTGCAATAAAGTAGGGAAACTACAGTATACTAGAAAAGAACTTGGGAGGGGCACTTTGCTCAGATTTGGGAGGTGATAGAAGGCTTCCTGAAAGAACTGTAGGATAAGTAGGAGTTATCCAGGTTTTGGAAGAAATGAGAAATCAGCATTTTGGGAAAGAGGGAACTATTTGCAAATTGAAATGTTCATATGGCTGGTGCACTGAATTCCAGGTAAAACTAGAGATAAGCAGAAGCCAATAGTAAGCAATTTTAAGGAGTTGGGCCTTTACACAAGAATAATAAGGAGCCATTTAAGGGTTAATGTTATTAAAGGAGTATGATAGGTTTAGATTTGTATTTTAGAATGATAAAAATGCTTGTAGGATGAGGAATAATAAACACTAAAGATTTCTGGTTTGGACAAATCAGTGGCTAGTGATGTTACTCCTTGAAATATGGAAGAAGAGTAAATTAAGATGATAAATTTAGTTTTAGTCACGTTGAGTATGAGATACTTGTGTAATATTTAAGAAAAGATCTACAACAGACAATTGGAAAAAAAACTGAAGTTTAGGAAGAAGATATGGATTGGAGTTATAGATTTGGTTTACTTGAAAGACTTGTTAATAGATGGTCTTGCTCATGCATAATATAGAGTGTGAATGGAAGATCTATGAGAGAAGTCTGAATAATACTGATAATTAATGACTGGGCCAAAAAAAAAAAAAAAAAGAGCTACCAAAGAAGCTGGAGAAAATGCAAACAGATAGTTTAAAAGGAACACTAGGAGACAGAAGTGCCAAGAAAGATAATTACTTCATTAAGGAGGGAGTGATTTATAAAGGTACCCAAGCTTGACATGCCTTCCTTTAGGCTTTCCCTTCCTCTTATACCCTAATCATAGTCCTAAATGCATCCATTTTCTTAAAACTCTGCTCTCAGAGGTGGCAGCCAAATTATCTGATAAATTTACGTAAGACTAGTGTATTTTAAAGCTTAATTTGTTATTCCAACTAGTTAATGTATCTTCACTAAATGAGTAGATCTTTTAAGACAGTGCCTTTACGCTAAAGAATAATGATAAGGCTGGGCGCAGTGGCTCACGCCTGTAATCCCAGCACTTTGGGGGGCTGAGGCGGGTGGATCACCTGAGGTCAGGAGTTCAAGACCAGCCTGGCCAACATGGTGAAATCCCATCTCTACTAAAAATACGAAATTAGCTGGGTGTGGTGGCGCATGCCTGTAATCCCAGCTACTTGGGAGGCTGAGGCAGGAGAATCACTTGAATCCGGGAAGTAGAGGTTGCAGTGAGCCAAGACTGTGCCATTGCACACCAGCCTGGGCAACAAGAGCAAAATTCCATCTCAAAAAAAAAAAAAAAGAATAATGATAATACCAGAAGTACCACCAGTATACTAATCATAGTATTACTAGTAGTACTAGTAGTACTAGTAGTAATTGTAACAATAGCAGCTACAAAGCTGTAGTACGCAAAACAGCATGGTATTTGTATAAAGCCAGACATATAGATCAATGAAACAGAATAGGGAACCAACTAACTTTTGACAAAGGCATCAGGAACATGCATCAGAGAAAAGGTGTCTTCCTCAGTAAATGGTGCTGGGAAAACTGGATAGCCATATGCAGAAAAATGAAATTAGACGCCTATCTTTTATTATATACAAAAATCACCTGAAAATAGATTAAATACTTAAACATAAGAACGAGAACTATAAAACTGCTAGACGAAAACACAGAAGAAACACTTTAGGACACTGGTATAGGCAAATATTTTTTGGCTAAGACTTCAAAAGTACAGACAACAAAAGAAAAACAGACAAATGAGACTATATCAAACTGAAAAGCTTCTGCACAGCAAAAGAAACAATCAACAGAGTAGAGTCAACCTGCAACATGGAAGAAAATACTTGCAAACTGTTCATCAGACAAGGGACTAATATCCACAACATACAAGGAATTCAAACAACTAAACAGCAAAAACCCAAATAATTCCATTAAAAAGTAATCAAATTAGCTGAATAGACATCTCTCAAAAGAGGACATACCTATGGCCAATAGGTATATGAAAAAATGCCCAAAATCACTAATCATCAGAGAAATGCAAATCAAAACCATAATGAAATATAATCCGGCTCCAGTTAGAATGGCTACTATAAAAAAACAAAAACTAACACATACTGGTAAGGATGTGGAGAAAAGGGAACTCTTATACACTGTTGGTGGGAATGTAAATTAGTAAGACATTATAAAAAACACTATGGACTCCCTCAAAAAACTACAAATAGAACTACCATATAACTCAGCAATTCTGCTATATTGGTATATATCCAAAGGAAAGGAAATCAGCATATCAAAAGAGATGCCTGTACCCCCATGATTACTGAAGCACTGTTCACCATAGCCAAGATATAGAATTAAACTGTGTCCATCAATAAATAACTGGATAAAGAAAATGTGGTATATACACACAATGGACTACTATTTAAAATAGTAGAAATTCTGTCATTTGCAGCAACACAGATGGAACTGGAAGGCATGTTAAGTGAAAGTAAGATAGGCACAGAATGACAGATGTTGCAAGTTCTCATTAATCTGTGGGAGTTAAAAAAGTTGACCTCACTGAGGCAGTGAGCAGAGTGATATTATCAGAGGCTGGGAAGGATGGTGTGGGGGATAAAGAAAAGTTGGCTAAAAGGTACAAACATACAGTTATATAGAATGAATAAGTTCTAATATTTGATAGTACAGTAGGGTGACTATAGTTAACATCAATGTATTGTATATTTCAAAATAACTATAATATAGGATTTGAAATGTTCCCAACATGAAGAAATGATAAATGCTCAAGAGGTGATGGATATCCCAAATACCCTGACTTGATCATTACAAATTCTATGCATGTATCAAGATATCACCTGTACTCCATAAATATGTACAAATATTATATATCAATAAAAATTCTGAATTCCATTAAAATATACTAAAAAAATCTAGAAAAGTTAATCCCAGGAAAATGTACCACTTGTCCGATAAAACACAGGCTGAACAAAGTACATCAAGAAAACAATTAAGGCTGGGCACCGTGGCTCATGCCTGTAATCTTAGCACTTTGGGAGGCTGAGGCAGCTGATCACGAGGTCAGGAGTTCAAGTTCCAGCCTGGGCAACATAGTGAAACCCTGTCTCTACTAAAAATACAAAAATTAGCTGGGCATGGTGGCACAAGCCTGTAGTCCCAGCTACTCAGGAGGCTGAGGCAGGAGAATCACTTGAACCTGGGAGGTGGAGGTTGCAGTGAGCAGAGATCGTGCCACTGCATTCCATCCTGGGTGACAGAGCAAGACTTTGTCTCGGGGTGGGGCAGAAAGAAAGCTATTAAAACGCTGTCCTACAGTGCTGAAATATAAATTCTCATCTGTAAAATTTTTTTATTTTACTTGATTTCTTGCATAAAACCAGTTATTCGTAAAAATAACAAAAGTTTGCTTTATTAAAAATAAAGTGGTTGACGGAAATGAATTATAGGTGGAAAGATGACAGAAGACAATAGTGTCATATCATCCTGATAACACGTGGTAATAAAACAATTTTGGCACTGATAATCAGATATTTGTTTATAAGTACCCACGGATATACCAGCTATCAATTTCTATTCTTACCTATTGCTTAGATATTTTGCACAATATTGAATCGGGTTTTGAAGGCCTTATTGAAATTAATTAGGTAGCACAGCATGTTGGTTAAAAATGTGGGCTATAAGGCTGGGCGCGGTGGCTCACGCCTGTAATCCCAGCACTCTGGGAGGCCGAGGTGGGCGGATCACGAGGTCAGGAGATCGAGACCATCCTGGCTAACACGGTGAAACCCCATCTCTACTAAAAATACAAAAAATTAGCCGGGCGAGGTGGCGGGCACCTGTAGTCCCAGCTACTCAAAAGGCTGAGGCAGGAGAATGGCGTGAACCCGGGAGGCGGAGCCTGCAGTGAGCCGAGATCGCGCCACTGCACTCCAACCTGGGCGACAGCGGGACTCCGTCTCAAAAACAAAACAAAACAAACAAACAAAAAAAAATGTGGGCTATAAAATCAAGGTCTGAAATACTGGCTTCAACTCATATACCATTTACCATATACACAAGCAACTTATTTAACTCTGGAATCTTTAATTTCCTTATCTATTTAATGTAGAAATTAATAGAATTTTACTCACAGGATTTGTTGTTGTGTGTGAGGATTAAGTGGGATGAACCATGTAGAAAAGTATTTAATACACAGTAACGTTCAATAAAAAGTAACCTATTTTATTATCATCATCATTATCAAGAAAATAATGGTAATTGGTAGTATTAGTAGTAATAGTAACAATAATATCAGCTAACATTTACTGAGTGATTATTATGTACCTAGCATTATACTATTTAATCCTTGTAACAATCTATAAGGCAGACCATCTTATTACCACATTTTAAAATTTATTTATTTTATTCTTTACAATTTCTGCCCTTTCTGAACAAGTTATTACCACATTTTACAGATCAGGAAAGTGAGGCATAGAGATACTGAGCACTTGTTCAAGTTCACACAGCAAATAAGTAGAGAAATTGAGATTTTAATATAGGGAGTTTGACTCTAGAAAGGAAAAATGTCACTTCAACAAAGACTTAGTCTTAGAGTCAGAGTCACAGAAAGGAAAGTCAGGATATTTATGAGATTTTGAAGTTTGGTCCAAAGTAGATCTTTCAATATAGGAGCTTCATTAAGATTGGATAAAGATCCTGATGTAATCATTTGGGATTGATGGATATAGCAAGGCAAGGGGTTGTGAGAGCTTGTTCACATTTGGTGGCCACGAAAGAGGTTCAGTTTCTAAGGACTTGGTTAAGTCATATAATGGCATGGCAATTTCAGAAAAGTTGCAAACTCATTGCCTGCTATAGCCAGTGAGACCCAGGTATCTTCTTAATTAGGGCCAAGATTTGGTTTTGAGGGATATAAAAGAGGCATTATTTTAAGTTTATTACATTTTATTTTGCCTTGGCCAAGGAATTTCTTATGGAAGTACTTTTGGAATCTCAATTTATTTGGGATATTTCCTCAAACCAATAAAAAACTAGCTCATTAGTTGTTTGCAATTTTGTTTCCTTTTTATTCTCAGGCTCCTTTTAAATAAACAATTTTGTTCATATCAAAAATTCCTCAGGGTGCCTATTATAATTCTTCCATAGCAAGACTCTCACTAACAAAACAGAAAGAGAACAAGGAAGGTTCTCATAGGTTGATCAATGACCAGGGTAAAGTTTATCTAAAGGACACCAGTCTTACAAGAAACCTGAAACTTGGTTTTCAGGGCCAGCTTGCAAAATACTTACTGAGGCCTATGTCTATGTTTTTCCTTATGAACGTACCCCTTACAGAGATACAACAAAAAATGACAAGGACAGACAGAGACAAATAGTAGTGTTATTGGTAATAAGACAGATTTTTACCAAGGATAAATGCATTTTCAAATTTAGTTAGATTATCAAAGGAGTCCTAAAAAGGATTCCTTACTCCTAGGACACAAAATAAAGTTGGCAACTAGGGAGCTCAAAGAAAAGAAATCAAAGTGCAATCTAATGCGAGACTTATCTCACTGTAACAATTGGAAACACTCCCCATACCCTAAATTGGAGGTTCAAAGGGGCTCAGAGGAATTTATTTTTTTGAGGTGTGAGCCACTGCGCCTTGCCAATATAATGGTCTTGGGCAAGCAATAATTGTGTTTGCCCAAGGGTTTGGAGCTAAGATAACAGATTTACAAAACAAAAATGGAAAAATTTACACAAAAAAACCCCATGAATTTTTACCTTTGTGAAGGTCTCTATTTTTTTATTGTGAAATAAAGATCAGCCACATGAGCACTCCATGGCCATGTGACCCAACCCCAATAAAAACCCTGAACATTAAGGCTCAGTGAGCTTCCCTGGTTGGCAATACTTGATGCATGCTGTCATACATTGCTGCTGGGAGAAATAAGCAATGTCCATATGGCTCCACTGGGAGAGGGCAACTGGAAGCTTGCACCTGGTTTCTCCTGGACTCTGCCCTATGTATCTTTTTGCCTTTGCTGATGTTAATCTGTATCCTTTCACTGTAATAAAGCATAACCAGGAGTATAACACAAAAATAATGCTGACATACTGCTAGAAATAGAAATCATTCAATTTGCTAAAACTCCCAGTGGTATGAGTATCAGTAGGCCTATTTCAGTATGATTCCCCTGTACTTCTCTTGATAAAGATCAGGAAGAAGATGGAATGATGTCATTAAGCTATTAAGATATAGAGAACAATAATAAAACCATTAGCATTTATATAGCACTTTTTTCTTAGGATCCCAAATCTTTTAAGACACGATTTTCAATGTGACATCATTTCAAAGGTACAGATAAGGAAAACCTATTATAGTTCCTTTTTATAAGACAGAAAAATGAATGATATACAGAGTTAAATGACTCCTGAGTTAATGCTATTAGTGATCAAACCAATAAATAAATTGAGCATTCTTTACTCTTGGTTTAAGGTTCTATGTTCTAACACATGCTGCCTGTGAAGTTATTATATGTCAGGAATTCATATTCACAAAATGAGTATGATGTACCCTCTTGGGAGCCACATATTCTTTTTTCAGAATTAGTCTCTGTTCAGGAATTTTCAATATTATTATTATTATTTTCAGTTAGTTTGTTTTCAAATAACTTTTGGCAGTGGAACAATTAAAGAGAGGTTCAGAGTCACAGAGGAGCTCATTCCTACCCTCCTAGGAGTGCATCAAAGTTCTGGTGTCAGCTTGCAAAAACAATTAGATTAAGGGAAATATTTATTAATGTATTGATACTGGCAATATTTTTAGAAGGTAAAAGCCCTAATATTCATATTTGTCACATAAATATTCCCCATTGCTTTTCTTCTTTTTTTTCACCAAAATATCATTTTTAGCTTTATAAGCTCTAGTTCAGCAGCCCACCAGAAATGGTAAAATACTTACTGGCTCTGAGAATGTTCTCCTTGCTGCTGCACCTGGACTGGACCTGTAGAAAGAGCATAAACTCAGTAATTTAGGGTTTATAGCATGAATAGGCAGATATGCATATTTAATGGGCAAGCTCCTGAGGTCTAGGAGCAAAGGCTTTATATATTAGTATTTCAGATGTCATAACATGTTAGTAAAAATGTTATACTTGTTTCATCTTTTTTCTTTATCTTTTCCTTAAAGAAAGAACTGACTTCCAGAAAAAAATTCGGGGTACAATATTGTAAATTACACAGAGATAAACCAAAGGTGATTTTTTATTCATTTGTATTTAAAATCGGTATATGGAAATTTGTTACTGTATATTTAGTTGTAAATATTGGCCCTTAATAGTAAGGCATTCAGTATATCTCTTGACTAGAATAATAATAAAATTCAAGTAATTAAGTTGTAACTAAGTATTCCATTATAGTAATTTTTTAGTATGTATATAAATTAATGGGAGGAAAATAGAGAAATCCTTATATAACATTTACATTTGATTCTGATAACCTGTTACTTATTGATCCTTATATAACATTTACATTTGATTCTGATAACCTGTTACTGATTATCATAATTTATCATAGTTATAATATTGATTATGAAATATGCTTCTGTTGAAAATCAATGAAATTGAACAAATTTATTTACCAGTTCTTAGGTGTATATAGAATTTATCAATCAGAAACCCTTATGCTTTGACTCAAATGTTTAAGTCAATGTGAAACATTCTTTTAAATGTGATAAAACTGTTACATTCAAGGAGCATGGTACATGTCATTAACATGTTGTTAATTTCAAAAGAAACTGTATTTAAGCTCCAGACCTCTGCTTCCCATTCCACAGCAGCTTGCCACAAATGGATATATACACAACAAATTAATTTCTATAGTTCAACACAATCTACTATCATAATGAAACAACTTATGAAAGGAATGTTGCAACTTAGGGTGGGTTATGGTTGTCCTTCCCTGAAAAAAACAATTGTTAATGTTTAAAAAAACGGCAATAAAAAAGTCACAAACATACATACAAGAAAAATACACACACACACACACACACACACACACACACACACACCAAAAAAAAAAAAAAAAAAAAAAAAAAGGAAAAATAATTCCAAATGTTAGTTATTCTCTTTTGGCCCAGATTGTTCAACTAGTTTTAAACATACTAGAAGGAAAAAGCTAGTCTGAAGATAATATTCTTATATTCTTTTACTCAGAAGTCTTATTTAAGTACAATTCTGGACCAAATGGGAAATAAATCAATGACTGCTTAAAGAAAATAATACAGGGAAGAAGACACAAGAATGAGGAAAAGAAAAGAGAGAGAGGTTTGAGGGTGTAAATCTAAACAATGGAAAATAAAGTATGGAATTACAGAAGGGGACAATATGTAAATGCAGAATGTTCTGCTATTTCTCATTAAAAATTCATACCAAGAGGGTAAGAATGACTAATGAACTTGCTGCAAAATAAATAAGCAAGTTGCTATACTATGGAATGAACATAAGTGTAACTATACCACTACAGCCTTAAAGAAAAGAAACACACACTAACAGACAATAGACAAGCTTAATAAAGAGAGAAACTACATTTCAAAAAGTGATTCAAAGAACACAAGAGAAAGCTAGAAGAGTGAGAGAAAAATCTGGGAGAGAGAAGGAAAAGAAAGGGGGAAATGTTAAAAGACAAAAACAGAGTTCAAAGAAGTCAAATGGAAGTCAAGAAAGTCTTCATTCAACAAGATGTAGAAACAGAAGGAGCCCAAACCCATAGCGCAAAGCAATGTTTGCGAATGGAAAGTGGCTCCTTTGATCAGTAATAGTTACTCTTAAGTCGTAGCCTCTATTCCTCCAGAGTTCATCTTTAAGCCCTTCCAATCTAGAGTGGAGCTAGTGTATGGATAGAAACAAGAGATTTACAATGAACAGAGCAGTTCAGATGAGTAGTTCAAATTGTCTCATAAAATGTTCCAACAGATTTATATAATGCCTCTTATATACATTTTCTAATGTATATAATGGAAATGGTGGTGAAGAACTAGTTGGCTTTACCAAAAAAACCCAAACCAAACCAAAACAACAACAAAATACCCTCTCCCGTTCCCTAGGTAACTTAAAAAATTAACAAGCAAAATCATTCATAACATGAATTGAATAAAGAAACCCAAGTGTTGCTTTGTGGCACCTCAGTTTAGAACTACATATTTCAAACAGCTTTGGTGGAGAAATTTGGATGATGAAAACAATTCAATTCCCTGAATCTGAGCGTTTATCAAGGTTCATAAATTGCCAACAGCAGTATAATCAATGCTTTCCCATTTATATTACATTGGCTATTTGAACCAGATTTGGGGAGAATCACTTTAATATCAATGATTATAAGAATTCCTTTAGTGATCTTGAGTATGTGTGTGTGTATAAATCAATCAATCAATCAACCTATACACCACTGAAGAAAAGAAAAATTTAAAAATGTTGTTTATTATTTATGCATGTAGCAAATAACTTTTTCTCTTGCACCATGAAACTAGTTCTCTTTATAATATGTACTTAATTTTATACAATTTCAAAATGAAAATTTTACTTAACTCACAATGTAATGGCATACACTTGAAATGATACACTTGAGAAACAACTACTGTTCTTATGGACTATAAAGAAGGTAACACAGATCTGTCTCAAGTTTTATGGCTTCTCGTTTTTTTCTTTATGTTACCCTGGCTTTACTCTATGGGAAAAAAAGGAAAGTCTGGAAAGCAAAATAAAACAGTTTTTGGCCTAACGTTAAATTTGTCAGGGATTACAAATAAAAGGTATGGCATCTGATTACCTTCTACTTTATTCTACTGGATCATGTTATTTTACTTCAGTTAACATCTGACTTTACAGTATTGACAAATAATTCCCCTTTCAACTGGAATCAAAACTAAAATAACATGTAGGAACAGCATATTATATTAAAGTCAATGGAGAAAATAAAAAACATGAAGGACTTAATGAAAACATAGGGTATATTCATTTACTAATCAAGATTGTTTTGAGACATCAAATAATTCATTTCAACATGTGTTTACATGTGTAATATAATTTTTGCTGAAGATCACATCGTCCATTAGGAAATCTTAAGATGTGAAACAGAAAAACAGAAGGGAGAGCACATAATAAATGTAAGGAACAAAAGTGAAAATGCCTTAAAAAAAGCGAAGAAATTTTAACAAACAACAACAATCTTTAGATACAGTTAGAGAAATCACTTACCTTATGCTTAGGTCATAACAAGAATAGCACAGTGTTTAAAGTCAGCTCTTCATTATGGGAGGTACAATTGAAAGCCATAGGTTATAATAACATGAATTGCTACACAGAAATGAAGACTTTTTCAGCCCAACATGAAAAGCTAACTCTTATGGGAGAACATTTCAACTTACGTTAAATGCAACATGAAGAACAATTGAGGGTGTAAACATCAAAACACACCCAAACACATGAATCTCACACCAAAAAGAGAGAGATGGCCCAATATCTCAAGACACAGAAGATTTAATCTGTGACCATAATTTGTGACATATAAGGGAAGGCACATTGCTTTAACAGTGAAAGATGCATGCATAATGTATAACCATCCATTTACCTCCCCACCCTCCACCCCACTTGTACACACACAAGCCCATTAAGATACAGGGAAAGAATGTAGTGCCAAGCTGTTATGAAGAAAGCAGGACACACGAAAGCGTAGCAGTGGTCATGTGATTTGAGAGGTGTTCTTCCCTTAAACCATCCCATCACCATGCTTATTTTAAAGAAGCCAGGAAAAGATTCCCTTTCAATGCTGCAGTAGCTACGAGCCCCCAGCTTGAAGCTAGTGTGTGGAATTTTGATCACCGTTCCCTGCGATGTCAGGGGCTCTCCAGTGGAAGCCAGATGTACTGTAACACCAGTTAGTGGGGGTACAAATGTGTGAATAACATCCTTTCCCTTCTGTATTTCACAGAAGTGAGGGAGGAGAGAAACAAAGAAAATAAAACCCGTGTTAAGAATAGGTTCATAACAATATAAGAATGTATAAGTATTAAAATGGAAATTACATTTGATTGCAGGTTAACACAAATCCGATTTCAAAAAATTGCCTATTTTGCTGCTCACCAGGCTAATTTGTATTCCTTTTCTTGTAAATGGTATACAGTATGGTTCATATTGAAAAATTCTGAGCACTTGGTCAGATGGGGTCAAAGTCAAGAACAAAATAAGTCATCTTCTTTGAAGGACATTAGGAAAACTATCTTTCCATTTTAAACATGACTTTACTGGCCACTAATCACATTTTAAATTAGAAATTAAGTTTCTGTTTAGCTGCTTACTTATATAATCTGAGAAGTCCTCTGTTTTGGAAAGACACAATTTAAATTTTAATCTTTTTACATTGTTAAAAAAGCAAACAACAAAAAAGCTATTTAGAAACTGTTTCCTAAGTACTCTTCTCTGTTATCAATACAAGGTATTTAAAATGGGCTATTCCTGTCAATAATAGGCTTATTTCAGCTCTTCAGGAAAAAATTCAACTTTGCTTTCATATTATTGGTGACAGTAGTTAACTTTATCCATTTTATTCTTTTTGTGTGAGATGAACTTTGATTCATGTGTACATCCCAATTTAGTTAGCAATGTCTAAACTGTTCAATGATCATGTACTCATTTTCTCTTCCTCTTTTTACTCTTAGCAGGCCAGAATATCTTGACTTTCCCTTTAATGTGGCTTTGGTATTTTAGGCTCTGGGCCCTCCCATAATCTCAGTTTCCTCACAGAAAAAAAATAAAGATTGTGGCTCAAAGGAGATAATGCATTCATCAGTGATTTTAAGCTATAAAAATGAAAATAAATGTCAGTAGTTGTTATGATCAGTGGTGCCACTGACAGCTGTAAAATAACTCTGTGATTACACACCCTCCTCATTATAATGTAGGCAAGCTCTTGTTTCTAACCCAAAGAGAGGTGGAAAATTCTATGTACAGTTATACGTTTCTCAGTAGGGATACGCCAGAACATTTTGGAAATGTCATAGCCATATGGCCATATGCACGGTAGGCATGCAAGCCATATAATCTAAGGCATGGAGCAAAGTCTCAACCAGCTCCTCTAGAAACTGCCTTGTATTCTTGAACTTTTAGACCTTAGACAAGCTGTTGCCTTTATCTGGAATACACTGTTGCTTATTTTCTGATGCAAATACTACTTGTCCTTTAAGATCCAGCTTAGATTACACCAGCCATTAAAAAAAAATTCCCAAGTTCCTCAATCAGAAATAATTTCTTCTTTCTCTAAACTCTTTTAGCAGTGTTGAGATATAATTTATCTACCATAAAACTCATTCATTTTAAGTATAAAAGTATTAAAAGTTTGATGACTTTTAATAAAGTTATATGGCTGTGCAACCAACACTACAACCTAGGTTTAGATTTGCCTAGATTCTTACGGCATCTTATTTGAAATTCTAATATAGGACTTATAGAAGTTTATAATATAGAATAGGAGTTAATAGTTACTCATATTCCAATTACTGATATGAGTCCCCAAGTAGACTGCAGGTTCTTAGAGGAAAAGGATCATGACTTTATCCTCTTTTTATTTCCCACTACATTAAATACACTGCTTTGTACAGAGGAAACATTTGCTAAATCTGAATATTTTGTAGTAATTATTTTTCTTTTCAATCTCAGCAGACTAAAATTTATTTTTAATAGTATAAGTATGATCATAGCCATTCCTGTACCTGTTTTATCAGCTTACAAAGAAGTTTTACTTATTTGGGTCTGATAGTATTGACAGATAATATGAGAAGTATGTAGATTATAGCTAAGAGATATCTGGGTATCCTACAGAATGATCTCAAGAATTTAGAAATTAATATTACTTAAGGTTAATCAAATAGTGACATTTGGAGTCCAATAAAAGTTTTCTATACCAAGAGTTTCAGGTTAGGTTAAGAAGATTCCTTATTTTCTAAGAGAGCAGGATGTTTTATATCTTACATGGTCTGGTCACTGTAATGACAGAGATGATAGAAATTTTTGATGCATCATGGCTTATTTTGACTTTAGTTTTTCTACCTTATTAAACTTATTTAAGAGTAATCAGTCTCTGAAAGAATGAACTTCTTTGAGTACCATCTACTCATAAGATTAAGAGGAAGGAGAAAAAGGGACCCGTTTACTCAGATTACTTGCCTCTTTAGCCTACCCAGAAACAGAAGCAAAAGTTTGATTTAAATAACATTAAGCCAATAACTCTACAATCTTAGACTCTTACATTCTATTTCTTTCTCTTCTTACTTCTTAAACACAAATGGATAATTGTTCTAGAAAAGTTTTTTCCCATGGTTCCATTCATGCATCACTTTTTGGAATAAATTAGGATGCAAGTATTTGGCTTATTTGAGTTTAATAATAGCTCTTATGTGTTTAATTAGATTTATGATATCACAGCACATATTCAACTGAAGAACTCAAAGAGTTTTGGCTTTTTATGACATGAAAGGCAGCATGATAAAGAGGATGTCCTTTGGAGTCCCATGGTATGATTTCCAATACTGGACTTTCCTCTTCCTAGCTGTGTAACCTTGGATGTGACATTTAACACTTAGAGCTTTAATTTCCTCATCCATAATATGGGGAAAATTAAGTAGGGTAATGTATGTGAAAGTGAAAACTATTGTAAGTAAAAATAAAATAGAAATTGAAGTTGTTCTTATTATCTTTATGAATATTTTAAGTCACATATATTTTATATAGGTAGAATCTGAGGCACAATAAGAATAAAGAATTTGCTACAAATCATGCTAGGAATCAGTGACAAATAATAGATGAATTGCCAACTTCTAGACTAAAGCTACAGAAAAAGTCTGAGTAAAGGTCTGAGATTAGCTCTGCTAGGATTAATCTAATTCTGTGTTGTATGATTTTAGTAAAGTTATCTCCTCTCTATGGGTCTTGGTTTTCTTATTTGCAAAATATGGATGTTTCTAGGGGTTTTAACTCAGGTCAATGGGTCCCTTGAGAGAATCTTGTGGGTAAAAGACAGGTCCATTCACTGGGACAGAGAAATGAAATTACAATCTTTATATTTAAAAATCTAATTAATATTTATTATCTTCTTTCATTATGAGCTCAGGCAACAAATCACAGTAATATTAACAGAACCTTTTACTTCAATGGTTATAAATATCTTTTTATGTTTATAATGATTTCAAATTATAGTAGTTATTAGATCTGCTCCTAGTTTGTTATTTAATGCATTTAAAAATAGGCATTTATTATTATATTGCAGTTTGTTTTAAAAGTTATTTTGATCATGATTTGAATTGGTTTTCTAATGTTATATATTTTATTTTATACACTTAAAAATATTTTTATGAAAAAAATATCTGTAGGCTTTGACCAAGTACCACATGGGTCCATGGCAGAAAAAAGGTTAAAAGTCTCTGAGCCAGATAATTTCCAAGCCTCCTTTTATCTGCAGAATATTATAGCTATATGAAACCTTTCCCACCTCTATTTGCTGTCTTTTATCAAATCAGATATAAAAGGTGTCCTTTTTTTAAGAAAATTATATAAAATTGGTCACTGAATTAAACAAGTGCCCATTTAATAGACCGAAACAAGAAACAAAAAAGGAACACTGTTGCTTAAAAAAGTTATTAAATCCTCAGGGTTAAAAAAAATTCTGCTTCAGTTGTGCTTTTCCCATTGGTTCAGATGGACTAATCATTTAACAGTAATCACATTTAAAAACCTCTAATCAAAGGTGAACTTCCATACACACACACATACACACATAAAAACAGACACACGTGTGTATGTATCCATAACCATTTATTCTTTGAATTTTCAGTCATTTATTGCTCACTGATAGAGAGTAGCAATGTTATTTTTTATTTGTATTTTTTTTCCCCGAAATGGAGTCTTGCTCTGTCACCAGGCTCGAGTGGAGTGGCATGATCTTGGCTCACTGCAACCTCCGCCTCTCAGGTTCAAGCAACTCTCCTGCCTCAGCCTCCCGAGTAGCTGGGACTACAGGTGTGCGCCACCACACCTGGCTAATTTTTGTATTTTTAGTAGAGATGAGGTATCACTGTGTTACTCAGGCTGGTCTCAAACTCCTGACCTCATGATCTGCCTGCCTTGGCCTCCCAAAGTGCTGTGATTACAGGCTTGAGCCACAGCGCCTGGGCTGCTGTTTTTTTTAAATCTATGTACAACATAAGAGAATGCCGGCAAATAGACAATATTTATAAGCAAAACAATTTTATAAATCTTTTCCAGGTGACCATTCTTAAATGTTTTCCCACTGTTATATAAATTTTCATTGTTAAATTCCACCGAGCTTTCCTAAGTTCTAGGTTAATGTGAAAAACACTTCCTTTTCAGTATTGACCCATTCTTAAAGAAGTCGGAAGTGTGTCAGGTTATATAGCTGGTGAAGTTAATTATAATTACCACTGAAAATCAAAGCTTGTTTATGCTTCTTTATAGGTAACTTGGTGAGTTCCTTATTTGTTCTTAAAGAAAATACTATAATATGTAGAACACACTTTCTATTCTTTAGAACTGGTTATCACCATGACTCAAGGAAATATGAATTTAAGCATCAATGTTAAATGTTCTTAATGTATTTCCTATATAAAGCTTTAATTCCAAGTTGAACCATGTTCAGTGACCTCTGGAAACTTTGCAAATCCCAGGCTGGTCTCCTCTTGGTACCAACAATCGTTTTGGTTTGGTGCTTGTTCTGAAAATGTTAATGTTGATCATAAATATGAAGAAAAATTACTACCCAAATTATATAATGTATTATAAAGCTAAATGAAGTATTTTTGGCTAAGAGGAATTTCAGATTATTCATTATTTCCCAATCTTAAGATGAATAACTGATTATTTTACAGAGTAATTACTCTTCATTCTAAAGGTTAGAAGGTAGGAATTATTACTGGTTTTAGGTCATACAGTAAAGTAGTAATAGAACTTGGTTCTCTTGACTTCCAAACTTAATTATCTGTACACTATCAATCACTCCACCTTTCTAACCTAACAATGACAATCATTGCATTCCTAATCACAACTTGAATTTTCATTGCTTCTTTGCTCTTGACTGTTTCTCTTAGCGATGAGAACCACTGAGAACAGGGATTTGAATGTAGGGGTGACGGAGAATGGTATAACAAAAGAACTTTGGGGAGTAGTATTCTGGAAAAAAACTGTCTAGATTTGAATTTTGGCTCTACCATTATTAGCTGTATAACACTGTATAAGTCATAACTTCACGTATAAGTGAAGATAATAATAACATCTATCTCATAAGATATTTGTAAAGAAAATAAGAATACATGTAAAGTGCTTGCTTAGAGATACATGTAAAGTGCTTGCTTAGAGAGTAGCTCAGAGTTAACAGTATATATTGTTAGCTATTACTATATTGTTGTTCCTACTATTATCCTTTTGTTTGGATGATATTCTAGGCCTGTAATAAGAAATGCTGATTTTTTTTTGTTTTGCGTGTGTGTGATTTTGACAGTTCTCAAAAGTAAGATCAAGTAAGATTAATTTAGGTGAGTATGTGAACAGGAAGTTTTCAGAAAATATTGATTAATTCTAAAAAATAGAGGCCAAGGAATAGATACAGTCAATAATATAAAAACTTGAATTATTGAGTATTTGTAATTATTATGCATTTTGTGACACTTCTGGAAGAAAGTCACATTCGTTTTCATTAAGCATGAAGTTTGAAATACTGAGTTTTTAATTAGATTTAATATTCTTAGTTTTTATTCTTAAATGTCATGTCTTATCACCTATTTGATCATTAAAAAAACCCTAATGCTTTACTCATTTCAGTGTGGCTGTATTGTTTTCCTTTCTAAATCATATTTTAGATTGATTGAAAAAGTTGTGACTTTATTTTTCTAAATGCTTAACTAGCATTCATAAGGCACATGAAAGATGTACAAATATATGTCTATACTGCACTAGTAAAGTAGCAAGAGCTTAGAAAGTGTGTAGAAAAGTTTCTTCGAGAAATATATAAGAACTAGGCATTCTGATGCCTAGTATTACAGCTATGTATGGCGTACATTATGTTGTTAATCAAGCCTCTCATGATCTAACCAAGTAATAGTTAACAAGTATAGTTTAATAATATAATATATAACTCATTTTCAGGATGAGCAATATAGGTCAGATTATTTCAGATGTATGTAAATTTTTTTCTTAACATAAGCCCTATACCTGTAGGTCCAGAGACATGCACTAATTAGATCGGTTAAAGCTAGAGACTTGTGTATGTAGCGAATCCTCTTTTCAGCAGGAAAAACATAGGAAGTTAGGCTAGCTAAATAACCTTGACTAAATTATTTCAAGTATTAGTTTCCACATCTACAAAAATCAAGATAATACTATTCAATTATTGAACAAATATGTGGAAAAAAGAAATTAACAATAATAATAATAATAAAAAAGAGTATGTGTTGAGCTAAGCTCAGTTGCCCAGAGCCATCGCCAGGCTCTTATCTAGGTGCTGGAGGTAAAACATGAACAAAATTGATAAAGACCTTGCTATCTTGGAATTTACATTCTAATAGTAGTAGACAGATGATAAGCACCTAAACTAATAAGTACATAAATAAGATAGTTTCAGAAAGTGGTTAGTGCTATAAAGAAAATAAAATACAGTAATGGAATAAAAAAATAAGTAGTGATAAGGTATAGCTATTTTAGACAAGAGTAAGCAAGGAAGACTTCTCTGAATAAGTATCATTTTAGTTAAGATTTGAGACAGCCAGATGAAGATCATGGGGAAGAACTTTCCAGACTGAGGAAACAGCTAAAGGTGTGCAAAGGCTCAAATGTTTTGTTGAATTTCCACCTCATAGAATTATTGTGAGACTAAAATAAGCTAATGCATGTAGAGCATTTGTTATCATATCCAACATTGTATAAAGGACAAATACATGTTTTTCTGGTAATGATGAAAGTGACAATAATAATGGCTATAATGACTATGATACAAACTACCGAAATCCAGACTGAAATTACTCTCCCCAATCCCTCCTAGCCTGGAAATATTTGTAACCTCTTCCACATCAAAGAAGACTGTTGTAATTGGTCAGAAAGGCCAAAGATTGGTAATAAAAAGACACACGGGTGTTCAGACTTAGGGTTCCAGCAAAGTGGGATACAAAAGTACCTTTTGGGAAAAAATCTGCTATTTCATAAAAGTCAATGAAGGCATCTCTTAAAAGACAGAATACAATTTTTGTTGTTTATTGAAGTTTTACCATAAATAAATTTCTGCATTAAAGCTATGATTTCATAATGCTATTGATCCATGATAGCTACTACACTTGCTAGTATTCTCCTGACTGTTAAATCTATCCCTATAAGTGTTGAGGCATTCTCAAAATTTATGGAAAGATGCATCACATGGAATAACCATCAAACCAGAGAAAACTTAATTATAAAGATTTTCTCTTTTTAGCAATCATTAACCTCCATGTCCAAAGTATATGAAGTTTCATTTGGGACAGAACAATGTTATTAATAATGCCAGGAGGTGCGTTGGTTCAGTGTTAGTGATTTTTGTTTCATTTGCATTCCAGTTTGGTTCCTTTTGATTTCCTATATATTTCTAGTATAGAGGTATGACACAGTGGTTTGGTTAGGATTAGCCAGAGTAGTTTTGAGACATCTTGCCTGCTTCTGACCAGTTTATTTTATTGTAATCTGAGCACAACAAACAGAAGTGATCATATATATATATAAAATCTGTGTATTTATACACACAACACACACATATTTAGTGGGTCTGTGTATTCTATCTTCATAGCACACACTGAAAATCATTAAAGTTATACTATAAACCAGTAGGTTACTTGAAAATAAATATAAGCAGAAAGAGAGAAAGAGGAGTAAAAAGGATCCTGGGAAATATAGCATTATTCAAATGCCGGGTCAACATATGCCCCATATGTGGAAAGAACACAATCCTAATTTTCCTTCTTTTTTTTTTTTTTTTTTTTTTTGAGGCAAGGTCTCACTCTACTGTCCAGGCTACAGTGCAGTAGTACCATCATAGCTCATTGCAGCCTCAACCTCCTAGGCTCAAGTGATCCTCCCACCTCAGCCTCCTGAGTAGCTTGGGACCATAGGCATGTGACATCCCCCCGAGATAATTTTTTTTTTTTTTGTAGAGGTGGGGTCACCCTATGTTGTCCAGGCTGGTCACAAACTCTTGGACTCAAGTGATTCTCCTGCCTTGGCCTACCAAAGTGTTGGGATTACACGCATAAGCCACTGTGCCAGGCCTTTAATATTCTGTTTTGTTCTTATATGAGAATTCTATGCAAAGGAAATTTGAGCTTTGTCACAATTGTTCAGTTTCCTAAAAATATATCAAAAGATCTGAATAAATCATAGTAAAACATTAAAATGTGCTAAATCTAAATGGTTACCAAATGGGTGTTTGTTATATTATCTGTTGTTTACTATATATAACATTTGAAACATTTCATTAAATAATGGGAACTATAAAAAAAAGAAACTAATTTTCCCAAGGACATTTACATTAGGCTTTCAATACCCCAAAACACTTTAGCTTGGATTTCTCAAATTTAGAATTTGATATCATCTAAATACCCATTTACACTATCCTAAAAACAAACAATGTCAATGTTTTCAACCCATATATTTTTTTCATTATTTTTTTCCTTCACTAAGTATTTATTGAACTGAGAATGCTATTAAATTCTAACCACTGTCCTAGACAGTTGCACCATTGACCAACTTGCTTCCTTCCTGTGGTTGCTTCAGGTGGCTTTGCTGTGTCTTGCATCGCTCAGTTATCATATGGGCAATATAATTGTATCAAACTCTGCAGAAACTCATCCATTAGAGCTTTCCAACTCTTACATCCCACATGTTTTAAAAAATTCCTACTTGGAAAAATTTTAAAAAATTTTCCATGTAGGAAATTTTTAATTGGTAATTCTTTGTTTTACATATGTTTCTTTATTCTTTTTTTTCTTTCTTTTTTTTTTTTTTTTCTGAGACAGAGTCTCGCTCTGTTGCCCAGGCTAGAGTGCAGTGGCATGATCTCGGCTCACTGCAAGCTCTGCCTCCCAGGTTCACGCCACTCTTCTGCCTCAACCTCCCGAGTAACTGGGACTGCAGGTGCCCGCCACCACACCTGGCTAATTTTTTGTATTTTTTTAGTAGAGACAGGGTTTCACCGTGTTGGCCAGGATGGTCTCGATATCCTGACCTCGTGATCCGCCCTCCTCAGCCTCCCAGAGTGCTGGGATTACAGGCGTGAGCCACCGCGCCCGGCCTATTCTTGATTTACTCTATATTATCTGTAGAACTCCCTACTTTCTCTTCTCTTTTCTTCAGTTCACCATCCTTATTATTTCTTTCTGATAAAAGTTACTAGCAGTTAACATGGGAGGAGCTGAAGGGTAATTTTAATTTTCTCTTTGCTTATCTATATTCTTTACTGAATGTATGAAAAACAATACAAAAGTTATCTAAAAGAAAAACACGGCTGGGCATGGTGGCTCACGTCTGTAATCCCAGCACTTTGGGAGGCCGAGGCGGGCAAATCACCTGAGGTCAGGAGTTCGAGACCAGGCTGGCCAACATGGTGAAACCCCATCTCTACTAAAAATACAAAAATTAGCCAGATACAGTGGTGTGCGCCTATAATCTCAGCTACTCGGGAGGCTGAGGCAGGAGAATCGCTTGAACCTGGGAGGTGGAGGTTGCAGTGAGCTGAGATTGCACCACTGCACACCAACCTGGGTGTCTAAAAAAACAAAAAGAGAAACGAAACAAATAAAAAACCCCAGAAACTCTCATTGAAAATGCCATTTGATCAAAAAATTATAAAATTCAAACCTTTTAGTATAATATAGACAGACCATTTTACTATCTGTTCAAATCAGTTTTACTCAATTGTGTATAGATTCCCTGTGAATCATTGTTTCTCAGTCCTTCCCCTGCATACACATCTACATTAAGACATTTGGGATCAGTTTACAGTCTACCATAGAACAACTGTGAAGCTAACTAGATTCACAAGTCTGTAACCCTAGACCCATTAACGTTATGTTTTAACTCAAGCTGAAAAAGGCATATTCTATTTATAAATAGTCTTTTGACAGGGTCATTATATGATGCATAAAATTTTTACAGTTAGAAATATTGTATCTAATTTATTTATGTTAGTTTCATCCAGATTACCTCTCCTATATTCCTGTGAGCTACTTGCCTAGAATTTAGGCTCAGTGTACCAGAACATAAAAGCAGCTATGCCAAGCTCATTTTGTTCCTTTGAAGCACACTGAAACACAAAAATTAATAACAATTATTAAGGTTCATACTCTTTCTCAGTGGCTGAAATGGGTTATTACTTTCATTGAAAAAGGAAAGGAAAAGAAATAACTAGAAATAAAGAGACAGGTGATTTCTAATGAAAAAAACAAACACACAAGGAAAGGGAAAAGAAGCACAAGAAAAAATAAAGTGTAGGAAACTGCAGTGAGAAAGTGGGTTAATGTAAATGAGGTAATAAGTAATGGAACAGGGATTCTTAGATTATTCTTCTGTTTGCAATTTTTTTCTCTTCACATTTTTTACTTCAACCTTCAAAACATAAAGCAGACTGTAAAAGCACAAATATAACCCCTGATCTGGAACTGTCTTTTAAGTCAATAGGCAGTAATCAAAAGGTATAGCTTATAAAATTTAAAAAGGGCTGGGTACAGTAGCTAACACCTGTAATCCCAGCACTTTGGGAGGCTGAGGTGAGAGGATTGCTTGAACCCAGAAGTTCAAGACCAGCCTGGGCAACATGGCAAAAACCCTGTCTCTACTAAAAACACAAAAAATTAGCTGGGCATGGGGGCATGCACTTGTAGTCCCAGCTATCTGGGAAGCTGAGGTGGGAGGATCGCTTGAGCCCAGAAGGCGGAGGTTGCAGTGAGCCAAGACTGCGCCACTGCACTCCAGGCTGGGTGACAGAGAGAAACCCTGTCTTAAATAAATAAATAAATAAATAAATTTTAAAAAAAGATGTGTGTAAGAGAAAAGACAGGTATTTTGACCCACATCATGACTAATCTTTTTTTTTTCTTTTTTCTTTTTTTGAGACGGTGTCTCACTCTGTCACCTGCTGGAGTGCAGTGGAGCGATCTCGGCTCACTGCAACCTCCACCTCCCGGGTTCAAGCAATTCTCCTGCCTCAGCCTCCTGAGTAGCTGGGATTACAGGCACGCACCACCACACCCAACTAATTTTTTTGTGTATTTTTAGTAGAGATGGGGTTTCATCATGTTGGTCAGGCTGGTCTTGAACTCCTGACCTCGTGATCCGCCCGCCTTGGCCTCCAAAGTGCTGGGATTACAGGCATGAGCCACCACGCCTGGTCGACTAATCTGAAGAGCAGTTGCAAATATTTCCTCCTTGCAGGTGGGATGTTTAAAAGGAAGCCAAAGCGATTTCAGACACAGCTTTTAAAGCAAATGACATAGTATGATTCCCTCTAGCACATACACAGTATGACTTCCTTTACTACCTCACCTTTGTTCTATAAACTGCTGCTTATGTTCTGCAACTACTTACAATGGGAAAGTTAGAACAAGTGACCTACCCTTTAAATGCTGAAGTAAAAAAGGAATGAAAAACGAGTCTAGTTTCCTTCCTCCCTTTTTTATTTTCTCCATCCCTCCCTTCTCTCTCTTCCATCACTCCTCCCTCTTTTTCATTCATCATTAATTTGCAGCTACCAGGACATATGACTCTATAAAGCAAAGGCCAGGTAGATAACTCTAGCTGGGGAACATTTCAGATCAGAAATAGAGTTCAGTTATGTCTGAAAGTTAGATAATTGCAAGTGAAAGCACAGTGACATAGGTTGACCGAAGGAGTGGTACTTACATGCACAAGAGCACTTTAGAAATGCTACTGTCATTGACCTGTAATAGTAAGAATGGCTACAGAGACCTTTGCCATATGGTAGCAGTTGAAGTTGAATGAATAACCCCAGATTATTTTGACTTTCCCTTTGAACTCTTGAACTGTGCTACATGGCTCTAAAACTAATAAATTGGTGAAGTTATAGATAAACTTGATATGTGGAAAGGGAAATGAACTAAAGGAGGTCATTTAGATGATCCAGAGCTGCTGGTCACACAACATTTTTTGTTTATTTATATTTCATCAGCCCACATATCAAAGGATGGAGGAACTGACAGTTGTGTGGTTCAATTACTGTATTTACATTAATAAATTAAGCAAAATTCAGTAACTCATAGCCCAGAAACATGACTTAGAAAAATAAATGCCAAATTTTGGGACCATTCATTTGCTTCTTATATTTTCAAGGTGAAACTGTAATGTAAAAGGAAAGAAAAAAGATTTCTTTCCACTTGGAAAAATAACATCTGGTTTATTTTCTACCAAGTAAAAATTGTATACATTAAAATAAGATGAATGCTTAAGGGAACTAATAAAGGATGCTGATTGTTTAAACATGAAACCAGTGTTCCTAATAAATTTTAAAATATTGGAGGCAATTATAAAGTTTATTAAAAACAGTTTGGAATTGTCATGGATATGAGGGAATTAAGTCATTTTTGATATATTTTATGCTGGATGATGAGGCTGTGAAATTGTATAATAAGACAATTAAAATCAGTCCTAATTTGACCAAAAGTATTTCAGACTCTGAGCTAAATGTTTGAGACAGCACACAAATGAAGATGGACTCAACATTTCCTCATATAATCTCTTTCAGGTCTCACTGGCATCCTTTTTTTCTCTTTCCTACTCTTCCACCCAAGTGCATTCTGTGAAGGGACTCCTAACCTCCACAACTGATGATTACTAGTGATTAATTTAGCAGCATCTGACTGAAGACCATTTTTACCTCAGTTCACACTTTCATTTCTAGGGATTTCCCTTCTTTGTCAAGCATTACACAGAAGTTCACCATTAATCTACAGCTTCAGTATAAAATCCAAAGGGGCTAGATTGCTATGGAATTTTTCCTTCAGTGCAGACACACAACAGTAGCCTTTTTAGAGCCATGCATTAGTTCATGCCATGATTCTCAACAAGAACATTTAAGCATGGTAGCCCAAACAGAATTAGATTTAATTGCTGAGTGTTGGTATAGCAGCAAGTTGCCAAAGAGAAAAAATAGCAGCAAGCTGGGTTTTCATGACTCCAGGCAATACTGGGTGCAGAATGGTATGAACAAAATTTCGAAAATAGACCCTTTTTTTGGTATCCTGAGGCAGACAGAAATAGGACAAGGAAAATTGCTAATATAATTGAAAACTATGGCTATAAAAAGACCACATGAATCTGAATTCCATTCAGGGTTTCATGAAACATTAATCCAAAAATATGTTTAAGGTCTTTCTGAATTCACCTTTGTTCTACAAGCTGCTGCTTATGCTCTGCAACGATGTAAAATGGGAAAGTTAGAACAAGTAACCTATTATTTAAATACTGATGTCAAAAAAGAAGAAAAACTATGGTAATTGCCTCCCTTCCTTTTATTTTCTCCTTCCTTCTCTTCTCTTTTTTCCATTGCCCCTTTTTTATTCTTTTTTTCCTCTTAAAATACAAAACACTTGAGTACCAATATACCTACTTTTTCTCCCTTGTCAGTTCCAAGGGAGAAATATAATATATATATAATATTAGTCTTTCTAGGTAAAATCCACATCCAACTGTTTTATTGTAAAATAAAATTATTTTATATAATAACCCTTACTGTGTTTCATAATTATTTGCTTTCTCTACTAATAAAAGTCACATGGAAATTAAGTCAAATTCACTTTAAAAGGTAGATTCGAAAGTGATGCAAAAACACATATTCAAAGGGTGTAGGTGATTTCAACTTATCAACCAATGCATTGACGCTTATTCATGGACATAAAATAACTCACTGAAAAATGAAACATGAGTCTGTGTTCCCAAAATATTTAAGTTAAAAAGAAGCAAGTCAGTATGATAAATCAGGCATACTTATAAAATACTCTGACATCAAATACATGTAACTATACAAGTTGAATTTTTCAAAGCTAATGGAAAAGACATCACCATATATTCTCCATTTCTATTTCTAATTTAGCCTACTTCTGATGATGGAGTACATTGTAGAAAAAGCCCTCAAGTTCTCTATAAATCTTAGCTGTATAGTTCTTGTTAAAAATGAGAATAAAAATGTAAATTCTTTCTCAAGGAGGTGCTGCCTAATGGTGAAAGAATACTATTAAAAAATCTTAAATATATACAATAGATTTAGGATTTACGACTGTAAATATTGTGGATGAATCTACTTTGGAGAATGACAGCTGCAACTGTAAAGGGTAGCAAGCATTTATTCACATAATTAAGTGGCTAAAAATGCACAGGAAATGCTATCACTATGTTTAAAATGGATTCCATAAGACTCAAAATATGCCCTTAAATTCAACTTAGTGAATTAAAAAAAAAAAAAGACCAAATTCCCTTTCACAAACTACTTTTGCTGTGCATATGCTACTCATTCTGACCTATAATGCTTCCTGAGGTCCTCTTTCTTTCAGGGTCTCCTCTATCACCCAAATATATTAGGTAACTCAATAAAGCCGATTAAATGATTTAAAGGATGAAAATTTGCATTCTCCTCCAGTAAGTCATGTTTATAAAGAGTAATGTCATGCCTTGCCTTTATCTCTCCTTTCCAAGATGTCTGAACTTGGAAAATTAATTAAATAAGCCTTACTACCAACCTGACACCATCTCTGATAGAGAAAAATGTGGTCTAAAGAGGTATTACGGCATTTTAAAGTTATGTAATAAGGTTCCAAAAACTCAAGTCTATTCTAGGAAAATCTGCCTTTACCAAATTCTTTTTTTGTGACTTAACAATAATTTGGTGAAATTTAAAATAACTCACTCATGACTATTCTGTGAACACAGGACTCAAGAATGGTGATTTTCCTACAGACTTTTTTCACCCGATTAGTAAAGACCTTTAGTTTTCAAAGCCAAAGACATTTCCTCTAGTCATATTTTAGAACAACATAGCCTGAATTCATACATTATGATTTTTTAAAAAATGGACAATATTTCAATTTGTAAAATCATTAAGGCCCCATATTTAATTTTTGCAACATTCTCTATATGCTTAATATGGCAATATCTACTCTGTAGCAATGTATAGATGTTAAATAAATGCTTGCTGACTTATTATGACCTACTGGTAGTTTCAGCAAAACTGAAAGTATAAACAACCAAGGAAAAATAACAAAACAAGATCAATTTCAAGTTTTACATTTACACAGCACATCCAAACCATTATGGTCTTTTAAGCTCAGAGTATGTTTTCTAAACATATTTGGCTCTCTGACTGAATTTTCATGTAAAAAGTAAAATGCACACAGGATAACAAGATATAATTCCTCTCATACTGTACCTGAAAAATTCTGTTTTTACATTCATGATGAATTAGCTTTGTCATGACTCCCTTCCATTTTCTGAAATTTCACCAGAATATCCCTTCTGAGGAACATAAAGGTCTAGTTTATTCAAATTTTAGAGACGGGTAAACTGGGGCAAAGAGAAATGCAATTATAGCTCACCACATCTGATTAAATCGACACAGACCCGGCAGTAGAAATGATTACTTCTTTTAATCACAGTCAGTCACATATCTGTTTAACTTTGCTCTGCTGACTCAAAGATCTATATCTTGTTTACAAGATATGAAGAAACAGAGGGTATTTAATAAGTAGCACTTAACAAATGAATAAAGAATCATTCAGAAATATCATCATTTACCAGGAAGAGGCAGCAAGAAGTAATCTAGGACTAATAATATCACACTATATAAAGTTAACTGAAATTTAATGATATTGGCATACATCTTTAATATAAACATTCAATTCATACACTCCTTCAACAAACAGTGATTGATGATGCTGTGGGGAAGTCCTTGTCCCAATTTCTAGAGTTTCCTCCTCCCTTTACCTTCCACTACAATGAGTACTGTAAGGAAGACTGAGCTGTCCAAGGAAGAAAACAGGATGTAGATCTCATTGCAACTCAGAATTTGTCAGGTAAAATGCCTTGAAGTAGGCTGGATTCTGTTAGAAGTTAAAGTGCATTTTCCTAAGAAATAATGTTACAATTAGTAGATAGATTCCTACATTAATCCATATATGTCAATTTAAATCTCAATTCAGTTACTAATAGTGTAATATCAGCTAATTAAGAGTTATATGAACACTAGTCTAGAAATCTAGTCACTATAAAGTTACTTTTTGTGAGGAAGTGCTTTGCCCACTTATAAACTGGTGATTGCTTGTAGTGTATGACATATAATAGAATACAAGGACAATATACTACTGATAATAAAAAACCACTATTCCTATTAGTCATCTTTGGGGTGTGTTTATGTGCATAACTAATCCAGACACTAAATGGGAAAGTGATTTTGGAGAAAAAGACAATTGAAAAACTGGAGAAGATAGTCACCTGGCAGAATGAAAAGAAAGACATTAAGTGTTCATGTATTTCATATTCTATATCCTTTACAATGACTAGGAAAAAGAAGTAAGGCAGGAATGGTACAAGTGCTGATGTCAGGTTAAGTTGATAGTGGAGCTAATACTTGTTTCAATCAGGTTGTGGCTAATCACTATACATAAAACGTATTTTACTCTATGAAAAACCTAACAGATAATGTATCTGAAAGAGTTAGTTGAAACAAAAAATAACTTTACCTTTGGACCTTTAATATAACAATAAATACTGATAATAATATAGTTAATATTTATTGAGTACTTACACATATCAGGCATTGCACCAAGTAATATTAAGCTGTTAAATACTTAAGATACCCCAAAAGGTGGTATCATTCCTATTTTACAGGAATATGAGGTGCAGAGAAGTTAACTTGCTTAAGGTCACAAAGTTAGTAAGGCACAGGGTTGGGTTTCAAATCCAGGATTAGGATTCAAATCTAGCCCCAAACTTTAAACAGTATGTTAAATTGATCTTCAGTAAGTCTGCTTCAACAGTACAAGAAAACCGACAAAATGTTAATAACTGCCAAGCAGGAACATTTTTAGAATATGGTGAGAAGCTGATTAAATCTGTTTCTTTCAGAAAAATAAAGAGGTTATTTAAAAAAAATAAAAATATGTCTCACGATCTCAAGCCCTAAAATCACATGGTAAGCACAGGCTATTCAGAGACTCTAGGTATCCAAAAAAAAAAAAAAAAAAAAAAAAGCAACACAAAGAATTTCCAAACATGAAATTTCAAGTGCGTCTTTAAATAACAAATGACTTCAAGAAGTACTGAGCTACTTAAAAGATGGGATTACTATATCTTCCTCAATTCTGGGAGAGAATTAAGCCTTAATGCATTTATATTCATTGTGTGTAATGAATAAACTTCTGTTTTTTGAATATAGAATGTCAACATCTTTACAGGATCTTAAGAAAATAGCTACACATATTACTTCCTGTGTTCTGTGGCTTAGCTGAAGAACACTGGTTGGGAAGGAAATGCTTTGAAAGGGAAAAAAGGTGACCAGGGAAAATTGATAATTCTACTTGCCAAAGTCTAGGCTATACATTTCACCCAAATGCATGTTTAGGAGTAAAACCCAAAAGGAGCAAAAGAAAATTTGCCTTGTTGCTGGTCAAGAAGATACTTATTTGAGTCTTTAAAAATTACACTAGGATTGGTGGTAAACCAAATCTGTGTAAATCCATGGAGATGAACCATAGCAATATATGACCATGAGCTGCTTCACATTTCTTAAACCTCTGTAATGTATAGAAAGCTGCCATTTTCATTATTTATTTATTTATTTATTTTTGGCCAAAGCCAGGATTTTAAAGTAGACGTGGCAACAAAGTTCATTTATGTATCCGAAGTAAGGATTAGGAGATAATTCAAAAGGAGAAATAACAAAAATGACAAAATTTAATGTCACACTAAATGTCAAAGATGAAAAACAAGAAAGAGTAAAAGATAACTAGAAGATTTCTATGCAGGGAAACTTTAAGAACATTACCATTGAAAGAAGTATTTAGAAAGCAGAGCTGGACATACTGAGTTTGATATTACAAAAAGACATTCAAACAGCAGCTGGAACTATAAGTATAAATGCAGGTGAGCTGTCATTTTACTGCTATCACATTATAATATGACATTATAACATATCATATTATAATGTGCCATCATTTATTTGGGCTCTAACTAGCTATATGTCTAATTAATCTATTTCATTTGTAAATTCTCTAGAACATAGGAAAGAAAATTTAGAACATCATGATGATAAGCTAATCTGTGTATATACAAAGCTGGACTTCACATAAGTACTTTATGGACTCTCTTCATTCCTACTTCCATGAAGGAGAGGATATACATATCTCCTTTCTCTCTCAAAGATACATATAGTTTATATATTAGTTTTAAGGGAGCTTAAGAACTTTCTAAACTTGTTACACATCCATTAATATTCCCTCATCTTAAACTTTAAATTTTTCTTGCCCTATTTTCACTGATGACCTCTTTTATATTGTAAATGATCATTATATGAGGCAATATACAAGGATAAGCAGAAATTCGCTAGTGCCAACTACAATAGTGTGTTTTAAAAATATTTTTATTATGGAAATTTAAAAATGTATGCCCAAGTAGACAGAATTCTTCTCAATTCTTTTTAAAGAATGCTTTAATTAGATGGATATATCAAATATCCCTGTCAAACAGAATGTAATGTGTTTTCCCATTATCTCTATGGATTAGCTACTAATATGTATGTCAGAGAGAGAGATATATACTAATTTTATTTTTAACAAGACAATTTATATACTCCAGTTCATTTCTACAAATTTGAAAGTGAGGTAGGAATCAATAAATTTTAATAGCAGCAGTTGTAGTGTTTTCAAAAGATAGAATTCTAAGATTTCTTCACACTATCTCCAGTTTTCTAACTATAGTATACAAATGGCATAAAAATAATACATGTGAATGAAAGGGTGGAGCACTGTAGATAAATATATTGAAATAAGTAATAAATCATTATTAAAGATTTTCTAAATGAGATTTTATATAGTAGAACATCTTAGGTGATTATCTCACAGTATAGAATCTTTATTTTTTGGCTACAGTTTCTTCCAGTTTAAACAGTTTGTGGTTCTGTGGTGTTTAAAAAATGTTCCTATTTTTTCTTTTGAAATAGAAAATGGTATGGTGTTTAAAGTTCATTTACCTTTCTTCTCTTCCTTTTTTCCTCTCTCCCTTCTTTTCTTGAATATGTAGACTTACTCACTGCAATTTAACTGAAACTTCTGTTTGCAAAAGCTCCAAAACTGTTAGGCAGTCCAAGTTTGTTTAGATCAGAATTGGTGTCCTAATAGTGTCTAAGAGTTCAAAGGGCAACTATTTTGCATGTTACAACTTTAAAACCATCATTCCTTTAGGTAGCTAGAAGTTCTTAAGCATTAAATAAAAACACAATTTTCAGTCCCTGTCTAGTCAACAGGAAATAAATTATTTAGCATCTAAATGTCAAATTATCTAAATCAACCTTGCTACTGGGAAATCTAAGACATTAAAGATAAGGCTGTAAAGGGTTCAATTTGGACCAGTAAAAGCATGACAACTTGGATGTTTATTAATTTTCTTTGGGTTAGATATTGTGTTACAAATTATAATAAATTCATATCTAGTATATATTCCAGCTTCTCAAATAAGTCAGAAGGAATTCAGTTTCTGTCAGAAGAAAGTATTAATTCTGGCTTTGGTTTATACTAAGGGAATTCTGAAGCAATCTTTTCAAAGGATTTGAAAAGGGAACTCTGCTACAACACTGCTGGAACAAAGTTGAAAATCAGTTAGAAACGTGAAAGATGAGTTCTTTTTTTTTCACTTTGCTTGAAGGGATGAAAAACTGTATGAGACACTGATCTCATTACATTCACAATATTTTATGTATTCTAAACGTAAAGCCAATTCCAAAGGCCAAGAAATAACTGGCAGATTATAATTAAATAAGGCATAGGAGGTAGCTCAATATTTATCAAATGACTAAATAAGAGAAAAATAACAATAAATTACATAACAATAAATTACATGACAATAAATTATATAACCATAAATGTTAGATGTCTAACATTTTCTTGAATTAAAGTTTTGTGTCTTATAGGTGTATCTTCACATAGTATATACCCCAAACTATGTAATCAACCTGAGCAAAGTAAATGGATGAAGTGAAAATACACACTACTAACGTTTTGTATTAATTAAAGTTTTGTATCTTATAGGTGCATCTTCTCAAAATATATACCCCAAACTATATAATCAACCTGAACAAAGTAAATGGATGAAGTGAAAATACAAGACTACTACATGCTAGTCACAGAGCTAATGACTTTTAACAACTTCTTAACAGGAGAAAGCATGGTATTTAAGAAAAGACAATTTTCTGCCACTCACTTGCTAGCTTTATGATCGGCAAGATAGTTAACCTCTCTGCGTCTCAATTTCCTCATCTTTAAAATGAGGATGACATTAATATTTACCCCAAACAAGGCTGTTATGAAGGTTAATTGATAATGAGATATCAAAAACAAAGCTTATCACAAGTAAAATAATTGTGTGTATATATATATATGTGTATATATATATATATATTTTTTTTTTTTACAAAGGGACCATAACTACGTGGAGAAATGTTTTTGCTAAATAGTATCAGCCAGCTGAGGTTATAAATCTTGTTCCTATACAACTCATGGATAGGTTCATTTTTGAGCAAGGCTTATTTTTTTCATCTAATGAATGACACAGAAGATAGTGATATGCAATTGGTAAACCAATGTGCTACATTAGGGATTGGAGACTTAATTTCTACAATAGTGAAGGTAAATGAAGATGATGATGTAAATGTAAGGGAAAGAAGAGATCGAGCCATGGAAGGTTTGGCTACCTCCATAGTGATGCTATAAAATAAATACTGTACTTTGTACCAATGATCCTGTCAAGAGGTTTCCAAATGAAAAATTGAAAGCTAAGAAGAATATTCCTTGAAATTTTAATTATTAAGGTTTACAGTCTAAAATTCTGTGAAATATTTACCAATTTAAGACTAAAAAGAAACAATTATTTCTAGGCAGAGGATTATCACGAATATTACTTAAGGAGTTCTTCATTTTATTGGTCTTTATAGCATCATAAATTAAACATAAACAGCACCTATGGAGACCACAGAGATGTGGCATTGAGTGAAAGAGAGAAACCCTACCACGAGTGACAGAAAGAGAAACACACTTCATGACAAATAAAGAAAGCCCATGTGTCACAATGAAAGAAACAAATCTAGATGAAGCCAGAGTTAAGAGCTGAGTGCCATGGTGCAAATGCCACAGCATACATAATGCCCCCAAGAAGCCAGTTCCACATTCCAACGTGAGAGCCCTCCTGCACACATGCTGTCATAGAGAAAGTAATACCCTGATGGATGCTGTAGGCTGTGATTGGAGATGATGCCAATGGTAGACTTCTTACACACTCTCATGGGAAATGGAGAATTGCCTGGATGAAGTGGCAAAAAGAAATGGGTTATATATTTTTTACACTAGCACTCATAATCTTTGGGAATTAAGAAAAGACCTATAGAAAATGTGGTGATGAGATGATACCAACCTTCTCTTTCAAATGTCTTTGTTGATACTAAAAATAGCTCATTTGGCTTTCTTTTCTTTGCTTCTCCCTAGTGGTATGTTTCAAGAAGTTAACTCCCCAGGAAATCAGTTTTAAGAGAAAAAAATCTCACAGTTATAACTTGCAAAGTTAAAAATTGAAGAAGATAGCTGCAATTCTATTGACTCAATAAATTCAACTTTGTGAGGCTATGGGTTTGTCATGCTATTTCTTTTGGTTTTTTCTTAAAATTTGAGATCTGCAGATGGTATTCTGCCTCTGGTTCTGCATATACTACCTCGTATTTTAAACAGTACTATCTTTCAAGGGTTTTCTTTGGGATGACATTCTGAGATAATATTTCTGCAATCAGAATTAAGCTGATAATACTGGCTTTAATATGGTAGCTACAGTGGCCTATACAAAGTAAATACATGTAGAAATTATGTTGTAAAAAAAGAATGAAGGTCTTAAAATTCATAGGCTACTGAAGTCCTTTTTTTTTTTTTTTTTTTTTAAGACGAAGTCTCACTCTATCGCCCAGGCTAGAGTGCAATTGCACGATCTTGGCTCACTGCAACCTCTGCCTCCCGGGTTCAAGTGATTCTCCTGCCTCAGCCTCTCGAGTAGCTGGGATTACAGGTGTGCGCCACCACGTCTGGCTAATTTTTTATATTTTTAGTAGAGACGGGGTTTCACCATGTTGGCCAGGCTGGTCTCAAACTCCTGACCTCAAGTGATCCACCCATCTCGGCCTCACAAAGTGCTGGGATTACAGGTGTGAGCCACTGCACCTGGCCTGAAGTTCTTTTATTTACCTGTCATATTTCAAGGTACATACTCTTTCTTCTTAGCTACTCAAACAGTGCCCCTGCTTTGAAAGGAGACTTAATGGATATTCAAAGTCTGTTAATAATATTTCAATAAATCTGCTTTTTGAAAACAAGAAAACTCATTTATTCTATAGTTTAACACAGTAAGGATAAAAAATTAAACCTCCTAAAAGACAAGGAAAATAGGCCAAATTTCATGTAAAATATTTTACTAAAAGAACATGAATCTCTTTACTGTTAATCTCTTCTAGATTACAAGAATCTTAGGAAAATATAAGTAGCAAAAAATTATTAAAGTCATCTAATGAGATTTTAAAAAAGGGATACATCTTTTATTTTATATAAAATAGATGTATATTTATTTTCTATTTAATAATCAATTTTGGATGTTTTCCTATGTCTGTGGTTAATGAGACACAACAATCACTAATTGAATACAAATCTTCAGCTATCAGACACAGACATATATAGATATACAAACTGGAATCTTGCCTTTAGCCAATTTGAGTTTAATAATAAATTACCTAATTCAAAAGAGTCATTATGGAATAAAGGTAGTCACAGCAATCAAGTTGGCTATCTGGGTTTTAGTTATTTCAATGTGATGTAGTGACTGCCAAAAAAAAGTTATTCAGACAACAGTGCATCATTCATAAAAATAGAGAAATTTCCCCCTAAAACAGGTGAATTTTCCCCCTTTGGTATCCTCATCCCTTTCAGGCAAGTGCAAAGTGCAAGGCAAAATAAATTAAGGCGAAAGGAAAATAAAATGAGAAAAATGGTGAGGGCGAGCATGTTATTGACCATGTAAGAAAACACGTGCAAAATATACCTCAGATACACTATAGGTAGATGAGCACGAGGGAAGCCGAGCCTGGTTTTGCAGTGGGGAAAAGAAAACACTGTTAAAGAGGAAAGGATAGCATAGTAAGGGTCACAGAGGGTTTAGATGGCTCCATCACCAACACACTTGGCCAGATAATAAAACAGCTTTATAAGCAGACACTTGAGTTTGAAAACATGTCAAGACTCAAGTTATTTGAAGGAAAACTTTGTGACAAAAAATACCTTGCTAAAAAAAAATCCATGATGGAGATGACTCCCTCTGTTCAGAATCTGGTATGATCTTGCTGAGAAGATCCTCATTTAAGAAAGAAAGCAGAACGCTGGACAATTTTTCTTACGGTACTGCACTGATCTTCACTGGCTTAACACTAGTGAACTACATGGGAGGTTGTTTATAGAATAACTCTACCATACACGTTCACAGTATTCATTAAAGAGGGCACCAAAGCCAGTATTCTGATTCTTTTTTCCTGTTTCAACTATTCCATTTTTGGTATTACTGAACCTCTCTTTCTCCACTGAAGAAAGATGACAGTAGAAGAATCAGAAATGCACTTATTATCAGATTTGTTCTTTAACTGTATTTCCAGTGCCAAGCACAGCAGAATGTAGTAGGTGCTCAATAAATGCTTATTTAATGAATGAAAATACAAATCCCTTTTCTTCTATTCTTAGAAAACTGAACTTATGAAATAACATTCAGGAATTTTAAAGCTTACAATCAGAAAGAGTTGTGCGAAAAAGTATCATTGCCACTTATTGCTTTGAGGCACTTTCTACAATATAATGGCAATAGCAACACTATAAAAATATAAAAACTTAAACACACAACTCTTCAACAGACTTAACCTTTATCAGAATGATTCACAGAATTTTTGGAACAGCTATTTTATCACTGATTTTTAAAAATAGCTATTTTATACTTACAACAATGTTTAACCTTTATGATGCTGAACTGATAATGTTCTTCCCTGTTCTTATTTTCTACGTTGTCACACTGCCATGTTCAATTCTGTGTACTCTTTTCTCGTTAGGTTGTCTCACAATGCCATGTAAGATGAAGTTGTTAAGTATGTATTCTCTATTTACAAATACTGCAGGAAGTATCAAAACACAAAGGTACGGTGGGGAAATGAAGGTACTGGAGAAGGTGACAGTAGAAGAATCACAAATGCACTTATTATCTAAGATTTGTTCTTTAACTGTATTTCCAGTGCCAAGCATAGCAGAATGTAGTAGGTGCTCAATATATGTTTATTTAATAAATGAATATACAAACCCTTTTTCTTCTATCTTAAAAAACTGAACTGATGAAATAATGCTCAGAATTTTTAAAACTATCACAAAGATTTGTGCTAAAAAGTATCATAGCCACTTATTGCTTAGAGGTACTTTTGAAAATATGGTAAATTCTATACATGTTCAGAAATTACACATTTTTCAGCCATACACATATCTGAATTTCTTTAGCAAAATGCTAGTTCTAAGAAAATCTTGCTGTGTATGTTTGTTCTGTGTCTATATCTATGCCCATAAAACTGAAATACTTTATCTTTCAAAACAGTTTGAGAGTGTTGTCATTGTTAAAATTTACTCAGTTCTCTATTTTCTATTGCTAGGAAAATTTACTTGAGATATTTTATTAGTACTTTATCTTTGAATTAAAGTCAGTTCCGAGGAGGGCAATTCTATGGTGCACATTAAACATCTCAGAAATGGGTCACTTCCATTCTAAATAATGTCTTAGGCCACTGCAGGTGATTTTATTAATATCATGAGATTTTTTTTTTGTTTAAAGCACAGGATAAGATAGATTTTTCTTTTTCTTTTTTCTTTTTTTTGAGACAGTTTTACTCAGTTGCCCAGGCTGGAGTGCAATGGCGTGATCTCGGCTCACTGCAACTTCCGCCTCCTGGGTTCAAGCAATTCTCTCGCTTCAGCCTTCCGAGTAAGTGGGAATACTGGCACCCACCATCATGCCCGGCTAATTTTTGTATTTTTAGTAGAGATGGGGTTTCACCATGTTGGCCAGGCTGGTCTTGAACTCCTGACCTCAGGTGACCCACTCGCCTCGGCCTCCCAAAGTGCTGGAATTACAGGCGTGAGCCACTGCGCTTGGCCATTTTTTCTTATTTTTATAACTGAAACCTTAGAATTGGACTAACTACATTAAGAGAATAATAATAAAGTGAAAAGTAGCAAAATTACTCAAAATTAGTCCAAAGACATAATCCTAAAATTGACTTACTGTTATCTTCATCATTATTGTAGTCTGGTCATATTTATAAGACATCATCTACCAAGATACTCAGATGTTACATAATTATTATAAATGAAATAGTAAATAAATGAATATTATTAATATAAGTAAATGCCAAAATGCCAAACAAGGAAGGCTCAAACAATGTTCTACATAAAAGAATCAAGAGACACTCAAATTTGCTTAAAGTAAGTAGAGTTTACAAACTGTTTGCTCACCTAAGGACTATTAAATATTTACTTATCTAGGGACTAATGTTTCATCTGTTCTTCCCCACTCAAAGTTAGCTGATTCGATTCAAATACCATTTAGATTTTTAAGGTATGATATATTACTTGATCATGTCAGTGTATCTTTTCCAGTTGTATAAAATTTCCCATAGAAGGTATATGATTTTAGGTGAGGCCAAACAGGGCATTTAGCAAAAATCAAAAGTTCATCATGGTCTTCAGGGGAAATATCTTTGTTAAGACGTAATGAAGTAATAAATAGAAAAATGCAATGTGTTAAATGAAAATACTCTAATAACATATTTTATATAACATTTAAGACAGCAATAATGAGATTTATCTTTGTACTCTGAAAACCCAGAAATGAGCCTCCAATAAAAGAGAAATTTATAATCTATATTCTATCCACATTAGAGTTCCATATTTGAAGACTTTGTGTGTATGTGTGTGTGTAGAGGGGGAAATCTATGTGAAGAGAGAGAGAGAATAGCTAGAGAAGACAATAAAAAAGAAGAAAATAAAAATGTAAAGGTAGACAATTTGAGGAGATCAACCTTTCCAAACATATGCTTCCTTGTAGAATAATCTGAAACCATCCTCAGAAAAATGAGCAGGCTTCTTTTCTCAAGCTTTAAAATGAAGAAATTTCACAAACTCCATTATAACCATTCCTACGTCAACGTTATTTTGACACACTAACCAGTTACAGCAGGACTCAGCAAACATTTCTGTTTAAATAGAGAGTAAATATTTTAGACTGTATGAGACATATAATCTGTGTTTCAACTATTCAACTCTGCTGTTGTGTAAGTAACTGCAGGTTATGTGCAAATGAATGAGCATGGTTATAATTTAATAAAACATTATTTTTAAACACTGAAATTTGAATCTCATATAATTTTCACATGCCATAAAATGTTCTTCTTTTTATGTTTCTCCACAATTTATAAATGCAAAACTCATTCTTAGCTTGTGGGCCTATAAAAAAACAGGATTTGCTGATCTCTGAGTTATCGCATTAACTCAATAAAAATAAAAGTACAAAACCCCCCTAAAGACAATAGGTATCTATTTATCAAAAATATAAGAAAGTAGTTCAGAGCTAAGGCTGCAATGAAAATACTCATCTTTAAAGATCTATAAAATCACAGTTACCCAATTCATTATTTATATTAGCACTATTTCATACTATCCCATATTGGCATTCAGGAAATTAATTGTTAAACATTTAAAAATCATGGTTCAAAAGATCATTACTTTCTAACTTGATTCAGGTATTTTTCTTAACACTTATTAAAAAGGTAGTCTTATTTTGGGTGACAACTCCTCCCTTGACTTTTTTCACTTTAAATACCATCCTTTAATTTGTGTTAGTATAGTTAAGTACTTATAGATAATTGTCATATTCCTTCCATTTCATCACTTTCCATCTTAGTTTCACTTATATGCCAGTAATCTGTCTTCATGAACCATATTCCTTTTTGTTTATCATAGCCCTTAAAAAAATCACACTTGGTCAGCCAAAACCTATCTACACATATTTGTAGCTGAATAGAAATTTAATATCATAATACATAAACTGAGTATTCAGATGAAAATACAAAATTGTGGCATATGAGTATTTTCATTCCTTTCCTTTCTTTTCTTTTAACTATCTTTATTTCATGAACATTTATCTACTTTTTTCCTGAATATCTTAATATTTAGGCTCTCTTTGGCCCCACTGCTCGTCAACTAATCAAATTCTTTGTAAATTTACCTTGATTTATATTCTGTAAAGAAAGTATTACTTTGGATTATCTTATTCTATGTTTTTCTTTTCTTTTCTTTTTTTTTTTTTTTTTAGACAGGGTCTCACTCTGTTGCCCAGGCTGGAGTGCAGCAGAGCGATCCTGGCTCACTGCAACCTCCACTTCCTGGGTTCAAATCATTCTTGTGCCTCAGCCTCCCAAGTAGCTGGGATTATAGGCATATGCCACCATGCCTGGCTAATTTTTTGTATTTTTAGTAGACAGGAGGTTTTTCCCTTGGTCTCAAGTGATCAGCCCGCAAGTAGGGAGGATACTACTTGCCTTTAAATTTTTTTTTTTTTTTGCTATATTGGACAGTTAATAGGATCCTTAGACTGATATACTTCATATTTAATATTTTTAGAAACAAGGTAATCGGAACAAAGTGTTTCTCAGTGAGGCTTCCCAAAGTGCTGGGTTACAGGCATGAGCCACCGTCCCCTGCCTTATCCTGTGTTTTTCAATTCTCAACATTGTCTTCACTGGCCTTCAAGCCTGTGCATTACTTTTAATATTCTTCTTAATAGATTCATCCATTTGACTAAATGGAAAATTAATTTTTCCTCTATGTGGTTTTATTCTTCAGTTACTATCAGCACATCACCAATCTAAGGATTTGTAGTAATTTTTGTAGTCATTAAGGTAGTAAAATTCTGCTTAGGTACAAGATGATGATTTTATTATTACTAAAATTACTAAAAACGCACTTAAAGTTCAAAATACTTCTGCTTTGAATGATATAGAGAAAAAGATGATGCATTTTTAAGTTAAAAATCAATAATCTAATACATCCCATTTTATGAATCAATGTTGAATAAATAATACATTTTAATATGAGAAATAAACATTATTCAAAACATTGTATCTTAGAATATTCTATTTTATATTGTTGATTACATTATCCTTAATCAATAGTGGTACAGGGCTCTTCCCTTTCTACAAAATAACATATTGTCTACATCATCCAATTCAAGCATTAATGATTTAATTAAATCCTTATCTCACACTTCTGAATGATGTCAAACCTTCTATATTAAATATTTAATTTTAAAATATTTTAATTTTTATTTATTAGCAAATTAAACTATTAGCAAATTAAATCTTCATCCTGCACTTCTGAATGATATCTTAAATTCTCCATAAAATAAAATATTTAATTGAATTTTTTAAAATTTAACTATTAAATAAAATATTAGACTTTATGGGCCACATAATCTGTGTTTCATCTATTCAACTCTGCTGTTATGTAAAAGTAACTGTAGGTTATGTACATAAGAGTCTGAGTTAAGTCTGTTAATTCAGAACAAATGTGCTTAGTTGCCAGATTACCTATGATGATACTCTAATAGTAATTATTTTCCTTGAAAATTGAAATTGAATCATCAAGGCTGTAACCCTCAGATCCAGCTCATAATCTGTAATCATGCTGACATAACTAAGGGTAGAAGACGCGACCAACAGAAAAATCTCCAAATGAAGTCTCATGAGAAGATCCTCAGAAAATTATACAATTGTATAAGGAACATGGTTCTGACTCTTTCATCTAATTGAAATCTTCACCAGCATTTTAATGAAGTAAAAGACACCTCATATACTTGTTGATATGGTTTGGCTCTGTGTCTCCACCCAAATCTCATCTCGAATTGTAATCTCCACATGTCAAGGGAGGAACCTGGTGGAAGGTGATAGGATCATGGAGGTGGTTTTCTCCATGCTGTTCTTGTAAATAGTGAGGGAGTTCTCACTAGATCTGATGGTTTTAAAAGTGGCAGTTTTCCCTGTGCTCTCTCCCCTCCTGCCGCCATATACAACGTACCTTGTTTCCCCTTCACCTTCCGCCATGATTGTAAGTTTCCTGAGGCCTCTCAAACCATGTGGAACTGTGAGTCAATTGGACCTTTTTTCTTTATAAATTACCCAGTCTCAGGTAGTATCTTTATGGCAATGTGGAAATGGACTAATACACTTGTTCTTGTGTGTGTACACCTACAATAAATTTTCATGAAACAAAATCATCACCGAATGCCAATTTACTTCATTTTAGAAACAAAACCTGTCTAATATAGTCTATGGTTCTGAGAATAACTTTTTCTTTTTAGCATCAATTTTTAATATTCAAGGCACTTTAAGGTATACTTGGGTAGTAGGAATTAAAGGGTAAGGAGAGAAACTGAAAATTCAGCTAAGCAATTGATTTGCATGTTTCCTTAGCTGAACTCTCTAGAGAAGATACTACTTGCCTTTGGATAGGTTTTTTTTTTTTTTTTTTCTATATTGGACAGTTAACAGGATCCTTAGACAGATACACCTTATATTTAATATTTTTAGAAACAAGGTAATCAGAACAAAGTGTTTCTCAGTGAAATAAAATGAGATTAATCATTATATAGTAGTACAGGTGTTGAAAAAAGAAATTAAATAATGGCATGAGATAACCTAATTTTTAAGGCATCAAATTTTAAATTTGATGTTGGTCTCTTACTAACTTATTACCATACAGAAATCAGCAAGTCTCAACTTTTTGGTCTCAGTTTCATTGAAAAGAAAAATTACTTCTCATGACTGATTAGGAAAGAGCACAAGACTAAAATACACATATTAAAATATTTTTATGGGTTTCTAGAATAATTAGGTATGTCCAGACTGATTTAATCATAAAATCCATACTAATCTTTTTTTTAAAAAAAATGACAAAATAGGTTTTGGGGAGTGATTATGGATGGTTTTCAAAATTCTATAAGAATATGTGCAGAAAACAAAGAGTAGCTCAAAGGAAGAAGTAGAGATATGAGACACGTGTATTAATTCCTTCTGTTTAGTTATTAGAATTAACAACTTATTAATAAAAATCACTTTGTATTTCAATAATCAGAAATTTAGCGTAGAGATACACATGACTATGTGTGGTATACAATTAAAAACAAGCTGAGAAATAAGATAATTATCATATCCCTAACTTTAATTCTAGTTTTTATAACAAAACTATTACAGCTGTGTGAATTAAATGAATGGTAATAACCTTGTGAGAAGTAAATCGGATACCAGGATTCACAGGAACTTTCTTGGAAACCCCAGAAATGAAAGCCATAAATTACTGTAGTAATTTAGTTTTTCTTCTGCTACATTTATACCAAAACCAATTTAGAGATTTTTCTTGAAAATCTTGATAGTCTGAACTATCTGTCACAAAAAATACTATCATGAATTCTGACTATATGATGAATGTACAGGATTGAGTGGATACGAGGTACTGTCCTCCTTCAATGGTTGTCTTGGGTATATTAGACTTTAGCTCAAGTATTTGTAAGATGCTACGTGAAGGTGTTCCTGGTGAAGGTACTTACTGCTAATTTTCTTATTTTTAAACAAAATGACATACATTTATTCTAAAAGAGTCTGAGTTAAGTCTATTAACTCAGAACAAATGTGTCTACTTGCCAGATTACCTATGATACCCTAACACTGATTATTTTCCTTGAAAATTGAAATTGTACCATCAAGGATATACCCCTCACATCCAGCTCATAATTTATTATTCTGCTGACATAACTAACAAGGGGTAGAAGACATGACCAATAGAAAAATCTCCAAATGAAGTCTCATGACAAGATCCTCAAAAAAGTATACAATTGTATAAGAAATAGTGATTTTTGAAAAGAAAGATTTTATTTTGCACTGGGGCCAAAATATTATTAAGTCAACAGCAATGTTAGTCAGTGTGGCTTTAGGGTCCTCTACCCTGCTAATTTAATCTTTATTTCATAAATGGGAGCATGAAGCCGCAGCTAGAAAAGAAAGAAAGAGGGGGAAAAGAGACAGAAAGGAAAAAGATGGAGATGAGAGGACAAACCAATCAGATTTGGAGTTACCAGTCAGCAGAAGTTTAGGGAAAAAAAAATCACCAAGTGAAATCGTACATTTACTCTGAGAGAGTATCCTTTCACATTGCCTTCTAGGTGATCTCTGAGCTCCTCCAGCTTTCGATGGAGCTACATGTAAACATCAGAAAATGAATTGAAAAAGCAACTTGTTCTCTTTTCGGTTTTCCTTTTTCCTTTTAAAAATAAGATCATAGCATTATACATTTCTCACTGCCTTTGGCAAACATTTCAAACATCAAAGGTCTTTCTATAACGTAAGAATGCATGCTCAACAAACCCGTGACTAGGAAGTCAACATTTTATTTTGATTAATTACAGCATCTTTTCTCCCCAAAGCATTAGAGAAAATAAATACTATAACCATCCTTATAAATCCCCTAGAGATTCACTTTGACATTTTCTATTTTGTAGAAACATGGAGTAAAGATATTTAAATATTATGAAATTTGACTTTCTTTCCCAAACACACTTTTTGATTCAAGACTGCATCCATATTAATATAAACTGATTTAATTATAAAACGTATCTTTTGTTCTTAAACATATATATGTGTATATACATACTCATATTGTATATACACTTAAAAACAATAAACATACATTTATAACTTGAAGTTCTATACATCCAGAAGTTGAACTCGGAGATAACTGCACGCACGCGCACTCGCACATACAATCCAGTTTACAGTACATGGTGCTACAGTTATGGATGCCATTTTTATCTTTATTTCACCTTCAGTAATTTTCAAAAAGTCATGTCGTTCTGTACCTTCTCACCTGAATTTGAGTCATAATCCATAGTTTAAACCATTAATGGATTTATCTTCCTTTAAAGACAAAGATAAAATATGATACCTCACAGATAGACAGTGAGGAATGCTACTGATATATCATCAGGATACACAAACTCACATTTTTCTGACTGAATAATCTTAAATTGCCTAGTTTTTGAAATAGGCACACTATTAACACTTCCCATCCCCTCTTCTTATCCTTGGTGAAATAACATTTTAATAAAATAGCTATCCACTATAAAGCAGTGTTAGAGAACAGAGAGGATGGCTTTTCTGAAATAAAGGACACAAACATACAAACACACCTTCATCCATGTGCACTCATGTGCGTGCGCACACACAAACAAATAAACAATAACAAAAAAGTAAAGCTAAGAAGGCAGAAGAGGCAAGGAGAGGAAAGAGTGCAGAAATTAGTATTTCATAAATTGTAAAATGGAAATAAATTGGAGGTGTGCAAAATTTTGAAATGATTGAATATTAGGCCTCAAGGTAGTCATTAAATTTTAGGACATCCCAGTGCACTGAATTTTCTAGCATTTTGATTAATTTAACAGTTACTATTGCTGTTAGGGCAAATGAGATTGAGATATAAGAAAATAATTACTTTTGTGAGGTAATTCTTCTGCATATTTTTAGAATTCAGCAAATTTTCTAACTTGCATTTAAGGTGGCAGCATTAAATGTGATTGGTCTGTGTTTCATAAGAGTGATAACTTATTTACCTTTTCATTATGATTAAATGTTTGAGTACTGAGTGCCCAAGGCATATTGAGCAAATAAATATTTAGCAACTAGCAAACAAGATGATCAAATTAGAAATCTTTCAATTGTATATTAGCAGGTTATATACACAAATGGACAAACATTTAGGTATGTATCTGGTTCTGTTGATTGTTGTATCAGTTTTTTGAAATTTAAAAAATAAAACAGAGGGGATTAAGAGGGCATAACTACTATCAGCTATATGTGGGCCCATTATACTACATGACATAAAATTTCTTTCTTTCAATTTCTTAAGATTATGTGTATTGAATACATATTGTTAACTCATAATAACTTTTCTCTGAAATGAACTATAAATGGTGATGATACCAAAATAACATTAAAATTATTTTTTTTACAAAAAAAAGCTAAAAGGGGAGATAATATTCTGAAAATAAATGTTAGTTCTCTGTGTAACAGGAACTTAACACACAGTGACATCAATCAGAGGAACGGTTTATTCTAGAACCCCAAATTATAGGCACCTGTAATGAGGCAGTTGCCCTTTCTGTTGTTTGTGGTGCCATTCAAAGCTAGTTATTTGGCAGCTTGCCTTCAGCTGGTTGCTCTATGTGTAGCTGAAACAAAAAAAAAGTAATATGACCCAACAGCCAATAAAAATATTAAAATAAAAAAAATGGGATGGTGAAAAATGGAAAAAGCCCCCTTCCTCCCACCACCCTCCAAAAAGGAAGAAGTGTAGGCTATAGACGAAATCTTGCCAAAAAATGTTAGAAACATATTTACTTTGAGGGATCCAACTCTACTAGCAACTCCTTTGCTTTCATCCGGCCGTCTAATTTGCTACAATGAGGGAAGATGGGTAAGAAAGACAGAATAAAGAAAAAGTGAACTTAAAAATTTTTCTATACATTAGTAAGTAATACATGCAAAAACATCAATTGACTCTCTGTGGTAGCTCTTAGGAGGCCAAGGAGTTAACTAACCCAGAGGCTGTATGACATGCTCTGCAAATAGGCTGGTCCCTAGAATTCAGTCTTTGTTATGGCACTATCCCTGAGATGAGGAAATTGGCACTTACTTTTGGTTATCTTGGGGACTTCTGATGAAGCAGTATCTGGAGTAGTGTTACATTTGCATTTGGCTTACAAAAAACAAAGAATTACAAATATACCTATGTACTTTTCTCTCTTAGTGTTTTAGTGTCTATTCCATTGTAATATTAGAAAACATAAATGGTATGACTAGAAACATGAATGCTCTGTAGGTGGAAAGATCAGTCCTGACAAGCATCATTCTTGATAGGTGACAGAGTGAAGCTCCTCTGCTTGCTGACCCAAGCATTGAGGTTGTTCAGCTGTCACTGAGATTCCCAATTAAACAATTGTGCTGCCCAACCAGAAAATTTTAATGCCAGACCAATGTTAGATATATTTACTGCCTCAAAGCTTTCAGTTATTTTAGCTGAATTTTCCTCTTGGAAAATTTGCTATCTTGGGTAAGACGGGAAATGAAAAGTAAAACTTTTTTTTTAAAATAACTCATTTCACATTACTGCATAAATGAGCAAGGGAAGTTTCTCAACACAAAATGTTTTATTAGAGGAGGTACTTTTTAAATAGAGCTCTAATGAGAACTAATGTTTTGGATAAAGAGGGAGGCAATAAAAAAAAAACGGCAGGGTGAAGAGCAAAGGGGATAGGAAGCTTCAGACTAAGTGGTTTTACACTATGGATTCCAGAATGAGGTCTCAATTCAGACCAGCATAGGTCAAGTTAGCTGTGATGTTCCTGCTTATATTAGGAGATAGCAGAAATATCAGTGTGATGCCAAAAGTTCCCAGTTAAAGTCTTCAAGAAATAATAGAAACCTGAACATCCTATAAAATTTTATTTCCTGGAAGCAGGATATATATTGTCTTATCCCTTTTAGAAGATCTCTGATAGCATATGGAAATTGCTGAGGAATAATCATATTGAGAAAATGGAATTTTCGTTTTGAATAAAAGCATATTGCTATATAAGAGTTGCATCAACTTTTGGCTCTACTGGATATAAACAAGTTTTACTAATTTTTCAGCATTAACTAAATGTTATGGCCAAAAGATAATCACCAATTCTTACTATTCTTAGTGGAACAGAATTGTCAAATTTAGAAACAATGGATACTAACTAGAACATCAGCACCTATAAGAGAGGGGCTCCCTATGGAGTGAATTCAGAGTGAGTTCATAATATCTGCTCATCCTCTTGTGCTGTTTTCTTTGATTTCTGAGGTCTTTATATCAAAAGCTGTTTTCCATCTTAAATGCAGATTCACAATATCTAGATTATAAAGGTAGAGTTGGTAGATTCCTATAAAAATATAAGAGTCTGATGCCTCATGAGGCTTTCTGAAAATTTTCAGAAACTGTGAAGATGTTCTGAACTTACACAGTAATAAGTGAACACCATTTTCTATGTTGTCTTTTATTTCCAGAAGGCTTAAAATTACATTAAGCTCAGCAACATTAGGTATCTTTTTCAAGGTTACACTGGAAGTTGATGACAAATCTAAGAACGAAATCAACAGTCCCTAATTTCTAGTTTAAAGTAGCATTCCCTTAGCAGGCCTGAAAATATATGGGATGGAAAAAAATTAATGCTTATAACAGAATGTGTATGTATATGTACTATGTCTGTCTGTCTCTCTCCATCTGTGGAAGAAATTTTACGTTACTATATATATGGAAGACATTTTTCCTGTACCATTTCAGTTCCAAATGCAAGTATAGAAACTTAAACAATGAATTATAAGAAGAAAAAAAGACAGTTACCACTAAACTCTGAATGTAAAAACTAGATTATAAGACTGATTTATATAGAGACTTTGGGAGCAAACCACTCATCAATGCTTGATTTCAAATTTCTATAAACAAGCCTGTCTTTGAAACCATCATAAGAGGAAAACCTTAGAAAGCCAAGGTGTTTTTCAAAGCCAGAAATGGCTACAATTCAAGTTTCATCTGGCTACAATTCAAGTTTCATGTGATTTTTTTGCAGCTTCTGAAACAGGTAACAATAATACCTAATACTGAAAAACTTCAGAAAGAATTTGAAAAGGATGTCTATATAAACTAGAATTTGAGAAATAGAGAAAAGTGAAATCAGTAGATTTAAAATGTAATGTCCTTATTTATTTTAGTCCTCCATTAATCATCAGTTATAGTGGGGTAGTATACATAAAAGAAATTCACAGCTAATCCAAATGCTTGATTATTATTATTATTTTTTTGAGATGGAGTCTGGCTCTGTCATCCAGGCTGGAGTGCAGTGGCATGATCTCAGCTCACCGCAACCTCTGCCTCCTGGGTTCAAGCAATTCTCCGGCCTCAGCCTCCTGAATAGCTGAGATTACAGGTGCACACCACTGCACCTGGCTAATTTTTATATTTTTAGTAGAGACAGGGTTTCACCATGTTGGCCAGGCTGCTCTTGAACTCCTGACCTTATGTGATCCGCCTGCCTCGGCCTCCCAAAAGTGCCAGGATTACAGGCGTGAGCCACCGTGCCCGGCCAAATGCTTGATTATTACATTTTAGATAAGAATTTAAAAGAAATCACAAAAGATTAGCATTCAGATAAGATGAATGACTTTACTATTCTTAATAATAAGAGCTTCACATCATTAGCTATTTTTATTCATACTTTTCTAAAGGCAAAACACTATCAGTAGCTAAGAGAGGTTAAACTGTAAATGTTTATATTGTACTATCACGGCATTATAAACAAAGTCTGAGAATTGAATGTAAATAATTGTGAGGATTGTGGAGTAAATTGAGATTACTAGTTTACTTATATATATTGATAATCAAAATTTAGGAGCAAAACAAAAAATGTCATCATTAATCATGAAGAAATCTTTTGACAAGTATTTTACCAAGATGTTAAAAGATATTATCCATGGGATCCAAAATACTTCAATCTTCTATTCAGTCTCTCAACTAGAATATATTTAACAAAGTATTCCTTAGAAATATTCTGAAAATGTTGCACTGTATTACCTCTTTTGCAACATTCTGGGAATCTTTCCTCAGGGATTAATTACTGGGGAAACTATCCTCAGTGATTAATTACCAGGATCTGGCCTGTAGTAAAATGACTTTGACATTTCTATTTACTTTTTTTTCCAAGAATTTGGATTCTAGTAATATTATGCAACAAAAGAAATTGCCTGGATCCTAAACTAATATGTGATGTTGATTCCCTTTGATTTAGCTCAGTTTCCCAAAACTGAGCTCACTGAAAACGATTTCTACCATTAACAAGGTAGAAAACTATCTAGCCCCACCCTCACTTCTCTTGCCAAAAATAATTGTAAATGTAGTATTTTAATTAAACCAAACATATATTTCATAGCTTAAAAATCAACTTGATATTAATTTTTAAAATAAAATACAAAACTTCAAAGAAATTTCAGGCTTATGATAACTGCATTAAGGTACACTCACATATCACTGGGTATATACATTCATATTTTTCTTTAGTTACAAAATGTTTAGTGAAAATGTTTTAGAAAATGTTGTATATTTTGTGTGTTTCTTTTACTGATAAGGGAACCAAGGTCTGGAGAAGTTCAGTGGCTTTCTGAATGCATCAATAAATAATATGAAAGTACAGCTGATATTACCTTCTGACTCTCAGGTTGTTTAATTAAATTTAGTCTCTTACCTATGGAATAACGAATGTAGACCTTCTCCCCTTCTCTCCATAATACATTTTGTATCAGTTTAGAATAAAATTACATAGATTAAACCAACATTTCTTTCTGTTTGTTTGTGCTAAGGAGTTGGCCATTTTATTTTTAGATCTAGTTTACCTTCAGAACTATTCTGAGACTAATATTTTTAACCTTATTATACCATATCATGGCTTTTTAAAAAAATTATGATTATCAATGAAAAGAAATAAAACTTTTTTCTTAGAAATTATTTTCCAACCAGTATCACTCAGTATATATTGGGGCAGCTATAGATCGTTTCTGGTAGCTATGATTTGGAGAAAGAGATTTTTTTTTTAAAGTTTTGCTTAAGAGCTCAACATTTAAACAAATTCCTATAAATAACAAAGTACTTTTGGAATTAAGTTAATATTTCACTTCACTATAATATTATATTATTCAGCCCTTTCAGTAAAGCTGGTGCCTCATCATAGAACATTTTAATTTGTGATTTATTAAGATAAGTATAAAGGAAGGAAGAAAGAAATGAAAGAGAGGTGATTAATATACAAATGTGTCAAGGAAAAATAATTGCTAATGTGTTTCTGGAGGAAAGGAAATACAATTATAAAACTAAACTAATAAAAGGATAAAAAAGGTCAAGGAAAGTTGCAAAGAGTAAGAAGTGAGAAGTCAAAAGTTAGAATCATGGTGGCAAGTTACAGATCCTCTAAACCCCTCTGCCATATTTTTATCCTTAGGAAATCTTTTTCTTTTGAGACGGAGTTTCACTCTTGTTGCCCAGGCTGGAATGTAATGGCGCAATCTCGGCTCACCGCAACCTCTGCCTCCCGGGTTCAAGTGATTCTCCTGCCTCAGCCTCCCGAGTAGCTGGGATTACAGGCATGCACCACACACCCAGCTAATTTTGTGTTTTTAATAGAGACAAGGTTTCTCCATGTTGGTCAGGCTGGTCTCAAACTCCCGACCTCAGGTGATACTCCTGCCTTGGCCTCCCAAAGTGCTGAGATTACAGGTGTAAGCCACTGCACCCAGCCAGGAAATCATCTTTTTTAAAGGTTCTGATGTCTAATGATATATTAACATTTGCATTTATTTATTTATATTTTATTACACATTTATAATTTTGATCTTAAAGTTCTATATAGTTTTAATTCCAAGACAGTATAATCTATACAAAATTAGACCTTTAAATCTAATCTATATAAAATTAGACCTTTATATAAATTATTTCCTGTTCACTAACTAGAGAATAATTAAACTGAAATTATTTTTTCCAAATTTCTTATCTGTCTAAAAAGAAATTATAAAACCCATCTTTAATAAAAGAGTTATTATGTGGGTTAAAATAAATAACCTTTAGGCAGCACATTATATGTTCTTAATTTTTTTTATTATTTGCACATGAGACCAAAAAAAAGTTTATCTTTGAACTTTCACTGAAATATGATAAAATTTTCTATCCAGCAGGATTAAGAAGAGACTGGCTTAGCCTGGATGTAAAAATGCTGTGGTATACAGGCATACCTCGTTTTACCGTGCTTCATGGATAATTGCATTTTTTACAAGTTCAAGGTTTGTCTGTGGCTACCCTGTGTTAAGCGAATCTATCGTCACCAATTTTCCAACAGCAAGTGCTCACTTCCTGTCTCTGTGTCACATTTTGATAATTCTTACAATATTTCAAACTTTTTACTATGATTATATCTGTTATGGTTGTCTATGATCAGCGATCTTTGATGCTACTTTTGCAATTGTTTTGAGGTACCACAAATGGTGCCCATGTAAGATAGTGAACTGAACTGATAAATGCTGTGTGTGCCCTGACTGCTACACAGACTGACCATTCCTTGTCTTTCTACCTCTCTGTGGGCTGGCCTCTCTATTCCCTGAGACATAATAATATTGAAATTAGGCCAATTAATAAACCTACAGTGGCCTCTAAGAGTTCAAGTAGAAGGAATAGTTGCATGTCTACCACTTTAAATCAAAAGCTAGAAATGACTAAGTTTAGTGAGGAAGGCATGCTGAACGCTGACACAGCCAGAAAGCTAGGCTACTTGTGTCAAACAGCTGAGTTGTAAATGCAAAGGAAAAGTTCTGGAAGGAAATTTAAAGTGGTACGCCAGTGAACATATGAATGAGAAGAAAGTGAAACAGCCTTATTGCTAATATGGAGAAAGTCTGAGTGATCTGGATAGAAGACCAAACCAGTCACAACAGTCCTTAAAGCCAAAGCCAAATCCAGACCAAGGCTGTAACTTTCTTCAAGTCTATGAATGCTGAGTAAGGTGAGGAAACTGCAGAAGAAAAGTTGAAAGCTAGCTGAGGTTGGCTCATGAGGTCTAAGGAAAGAAGATGTCTCTATAACATAAGAGCAATGTGAAGCAGCAAGTGCTGCTGTAGAAGCTGCAGCAAGTTACCCAGAAAATCTAGCTAAAATCCTTGATGAAGGCAGCTATACTAAACAACAGATTTTCAGTGTAGATAAAACAGCCTTATATAAATGGAAGCAGATGTCATCTAGGACTTTCATTGCTAGAGAGGTGAAGTTAAAGCCTGGCTTTAAAACTTAAAAGGACTGGATGACTATCTTGGTAGGGAATAATGCAGCTGCTGACTTTAAGTGGAAGCCGATGATTAGTGACCATTCTGGAAGTACTATGGCCTTTAAGAATTATGCAAAATCTACCCTGCCTGTGCTCTACAAATGGAACAAGAAAGCCTAGATGACAGCACATCTTTTTGCAGCATGGTTTACTAAATATGTTAAATCCACTGCTTAGACAAAAAGATTCCTTTCAAAATATAAGTATTCATTGACATTGTACCTAGTCATCCAAGAGCTCTGATTGGGATATACAAGGAGATAATGTTTTCATGCCTGCTAATACAACATCCACTCTTCACCCTACAGATCAAGAAGTAATTTCAACATTCAAATGTTATTATTTTAAAAATAGATTTCGTAAGGCTATACAGTTGCCATATAGTAATTCCTATAATTGATCTGAGCAAAGTAAATTGAAAACCATCCAGAAATAATTCATTATTTTAGATGCCATTCAGAACATTTTTGGTTCATGGGAGCCCAGAATATCAACATTAATAGGAGTTGGAAGAAGTTGATTCCAACCATATGGATGTTTAGGAGTTGAAGACTTCGGTGGAGGAGAAAGAACTGCAGATGTGGTAGAAATAGCAAAAGAACTACAATTAGAAGGGGAGCCTGAAGTTGCGACTGAATTACTGTGATACTCATGATAAAACTTTCACAGATGACAAGTTTCTTCTTATGAAGGAACAAAGAAAGGAGTTCCTTGAGATGAAATCTACTCCTGGTAAAGATGCTGTGAACTTTGTTGGAATTACAACAAATGATTTTACATAAATAAACTTGATTAAGCAGCAGCAGGGTTTGAGAGGATTGACTCCAATTTTGAAGGAAGTTTCACTGTAGAAAAAATGCATTCAAACAACATTGCATTCTACAGCAAAATCTCTTGTGAAAGGAAGGGTCAATCGATCTGGCAAACTTGTCTGATTTTAAGAAATTGCCACAGCCACACCAGCCTTCAGCAGCCACTACCCTGATCAGTCAGCAGCCATCAGCATTGAGGCAAGACCCTCTACCAGCAAAAAGATTATGACCTGCTGATGGCTCAGATGATTGTAATAACGGTTTAGGACTAACGTATTTTTTAATTAAGGTATGCACAGTGTGTTTTTTTAGACATAATCCTTTTCACACTTAATAGACTACAGGAGAGTATAAACATAATTTTTACAGGTACTGGGATACCGAAAAATTTGTGTGACTCACTTTATTGCAATTTTTGCTTTATTGCAGTGGTCTGCAACTGAACCTACAATATCTCCAAGGTATGCCTGTAAATATAGGTATAAATAACTCTAGTTGGCTTTATTAAGTTTGGCTACAAATCTGAAAAATAGGCCAAAGGACATCCGTGTAATTACCAGATCCTATCTAAAAAATACACAAACAAAAACCAAACAGATATGTATATTTTCCTGGTTTTAAAAATAATGTATATTGTGAAATAATTTGCTATTCTATTCCTACACAGTATTGTTTACTAATTTTTAAACTATACATTGTAGTTTCAGCATTTTCTCATGTCATTAAATATTCTTAATGAGATGATTTTTAAGGTTATAGAATAACTTATATATGTGTGTACTATTAATACAAGTTATTTTCCATACACATTAAAATTATTTCTAATTTTTCACAAATATAAATAATGCTGTGATAAAAATTCCTGTACATAGTTTGAGATGGCCTCTTTAATAATTTATTTTGGATACATTTCTAGAGACAAAATGACTGATTAAAACATAATTTTTTTTTTTTGAGATGGGGTCTCGCTCTGTCACCCAGGCTGGAGTGCAATGGCGCGATCTTGGCTCACTGCAACCTCCGCCTCCCGGGTTCAAGTGATTCTCCTGCCTCAGCCTTCCAAGTAGCTGGGACTACAGGCGCCCACCACCATGCCCAGCTAATTTTTTGTATTTTTAGCAGAGACAGGGTTTCTCCGTGTTAGTCAGGATGGTCTCGATCTCCTGGCCTCGTGATCCATCCGCCTCGGCCTCCCAAAGTACTGGGATTACAGGCATGAGCCACCGCGCCCGGCCTGTATATACTTTTTAAGTAGAGAACACAGGTATACAACACATGTGTATGAAAGGTTATACGAATTTATTGCTTGAAAGGTTATATTCCTATTAGTCTGAAAAGAAATACTCATGTCATTGCTCATTACAGTACTGATGATTATAGTTTTTAAATAGTCATCAATTTGATTGCAAAATTTGTGTTGTTTTAAATTTTTAGTAGATTTCTAGTGAGAGTGTACTCCCCCCCCCCCCACATATTTCTGTGCTGCATGTATTTATTTTATTAAATGACTATGCTTACCTTTTACTCATCCTTTTTTTACTTTTTCCTACTGGATTAGAAGAGCTCTTTGAGGTTGTCAACCCTGTATATGGTAGATTTCTTGTAAATATTTTATTTTCACATATTACCACTATAAGCTCCTTAAGAACAGGGTTAAAATGTCTATTCATTGCTGTATCCCCAATAGCTAATACAGTATTTGACATATAATATGCATTTAAAAATATTCACTGAAATATTCAATGAATTTCTGAATTACTCTGTGTTTTCTCTTTAACAAAAGTAGAATGAGTAGGGAGATAATCCTGAAATTTTGGGCCAGAAAATACCTAATTTTAGAATATGTATCCTTGTAAGATATGAAGATCCAGAGGATAGTTTACTATGGGATGTACTCTATATTAAAGTCAAAATGGGATATTAAATAGCTCTAAATCATGCCAATATCTAACAAATTTTGTTGCTGAAATAATGATAGGACGGACCACTTATATTTGTTGGGCTGTTTTATACAAAATATGTCCCAAACAATTAAAAACAGTTGAAATGAATCAAAGCTATTTAATTATACTGAATGCTAGTATTCTTAATTTCACAATTTCTTGTATTTCAACAGTTCACTTCCCTATCTTCTCATAACTTGAACAAAACTAGAGTGGATATCGAGAGAAATCAATATTTCATTTAACAGAGACAAGCTTTACCTAAATGTAAAAGATCTTAAGTGAAGTTAGAACATTTTCTGTTAATAATCTCTGTCTCTAGTACTTTATGTACTAGAACAGAATGCAAAAGATAAACACATGTAAATTATTCTGTATTAATTGGAGATTAATAAAATATCAGAGAGAGAAGGGCTTAAAAATATTTTTTAGTTGATACTGGAACTATTTCAAAAGAAAAGAATTATAAGCCTACAAGGGACTTTAGAGGTTATTTAATATCTTGGTGTTACAAATAACAGAAACTGAGGTCAACTAGTCCTCATAGTTTTATTTATTTATTATTTTTTGAGACAGAGCCTTGCTTTGTCACCCAGGCTGGGAGTGCAGTGGCATCATCACAGCTCACTGCAGCCTTAACCGCCTGGGTTCAAGTGATTCTCCTGAGTAGCTGGCACTATAGGCACTTACCACCATGCCCAGCTAATTAAATTTTTTTTTTTTTTGTAGAGACAGGGTCTCACTATGTTGCCCAGGCTGGTCCTGAACTCCTGGGCTTCAGTGATCCTCCCTCCTTGGCCTCCCAAAGTGCTGGGATTATAGGCATGAGCCACTGTGCCCAGCCCTCATAAAGTTATAATATGGTAGCCTAGGGCTGGTACTCAATATGCTGTGCCTCGCAGTATAATATTTTTACACACTCAAGCTTGTTAGCTTTTCAGACGACTTTGGGTTTATAGTTTTTAAATGTCTGCCAGTAAATCAGTCAAATGCAAATGCTAAAAACTGCTTCTTCCAATATATCATTAAACTCATGAAGACATAAAAATGATCTATTCCTGCTGTCAATGTAAAATATAGAAATCTTAGACCTAAAAGTTCTGCATATACTTTCAATAAAAGTAGAAATAACAGAAGTTACTGAGTTTGATTAAGAGATGACTCCAAAACCTTTAACTTCTGAAAGATTATCTACAGCATTGTTTTTAAAACTAGAAAATAAGACACAACAAAAATATCCAAAATACGGGTTGGTGAAAAAACTATGTCACATCTATCAATTAGAATATCAAAAATCCAAGTAATATTGTAGAAGGTAATTTACAACATATAAAGATGTTCATGACATAGAAAGATGCTCATATTACTAAGTAAGCAAGATAGGTTAAAAGCTATAGACAATTTAATAATAATGGCTACTGTTTAATGAGTACTTATATTTTAATCATTGTGCTGTGATTTATATACATTTTTAACTTAAATTCTTAAGACAACCCTATGAAGCAAATAGTATCATTATTTTTCATTTTACAGATGAGATAATTAAGGTTATAGAGGTGAAGTAACTTTTTGAAAGCCACACATGTATTAAGTGATTCATCATCAGGCCTGTCAGACTCCAGAAACTGAGCTCTTAATCACTGCCTTCTTGGTATGATAAGAATTTAAATGCATAGAAAAACATAAGAGAATGATACATAGCAAAATTTTAACAGTGGTTATTTATGAAGGGTATTTTATAAGAACTTTTTTATGTGAATTTTAAAAATTTTTTCCAAATGAGTAAGTACATTTTTTTTAAACAAAAAAGAAACTATACAGAAACTATACCACTTACAGTCTGTCTTAGCTATAAAATGTTAATTCTACAGTTAGCAATTTTTGGTTTGCTATATCTTCTCAGATATCAAATTTCATTTGCAAGTTTAGACTTCAGAGTGGCAATTATACATTTCATAGTTGTTACATTTAGCTTCAGTAATAAACATAGCTCTGTGACCATTAAATAATTAGAAATAGATGGGGAAGTTTCATTTTCAATTATCATTATAATGATAATTATAATGAAAAACAAAGGGGACACTTGCATGAACGAAAAAAGAAAAATCGAGGTAAAATCCTACATACCCAGCAGAACATCAGAGGAAAACTATTGAAAATAAGTTATAGACCAAAAATAGTTAAAATGCTTTATTGTGTAATTTTAGTTTCATCAAAATATTAAATTCTTTCCCATACTAGGTAGTGCCTTTCTCATTAGAAAAGGGTGTAAAGGAATTGTCTTTTATTTGAAGTCTCAAAATTCTGCTTCGCTAACAAATGAGAATAAATCCCCAAACAAACATGTTATAAGGGAGGAGAAATTAGATAACAGAGAATTAGGGCAGAAATCAGTTACTTAAATGTCCATAGGAGTCAGGCATTTAATGTAAGTGAGTAAAATAGTCTGGAGGGTCTAAAGAATATTAGCTGAGTATTGATATAGAGTATTATATCAGTGGTGGGCCAGCAATGTTGATCTGACTTTTTAGAAAACAGTGAAAATTTGCATTTTTATTTGAATTTCCCACATTTTAAATGTTCTAAACTGATTTCAAAAATGAGCTATCCCCAGTTATATACTCAATAGAATTATCTGCCAACAACCAGGTTATTTCTTTTTTTCTTTTCTTTTTTTGTTTTTTGAGACAGAGTCTTGCTCTGTCACCAGTCTAGACGGCAGTGGCGTGAGCTCAGCTCACTGCAACCTCCGCCTCTCGGGTTCAAGCGATTCTCCTGCCTCAGCCTCCCGAGTAGCTGGGATTACAGGCGCCCACCACCACGCCCAGCTAAATTTTTGTATTTTTAGTAGAGACAGGGTTTCAGCATGTTGACCAAGCTGGTCTTAAATCCTGACATCAGGTGATCCACCCGCCTTGGCGTTCCAAAGTGCTGGAATTACAGGTGTGAGCCACCACGTCTGGCCTATTTCTTAAAAGAGGGCTTTGTATGTTATCTATTAGTAGACAGAATATCCTGGGGAAAATTAGTTATTATCCAAGTGCAGAAGTAATACCACATTGAAAATGAATGGAGTTAGCTGGGAATTATAACTTCTGGTCTTATATCTTCAAAAATTTAATGAAGTCTGTCATTGGAATCAGAGAGGTGTAGGTGTTCCCTGCCCTAGGATTAACCTGGATCACAGAGGACAGGTAAACTATTTATAATGCTTAACCATGGTACCGGTAGTCATTGGATCAGATCTCTTGGACTGAGTATACCACTATAATACTGCTTCTATGGAAAAAAAATATATATATAAAGGATTCAATAGCCATCATTTTCATCCAGAATATTTTCAAGAAACATAAGCCAGTTTGCTCATTTGATTTTATCAATGGTTCTTTAAGTTGATCCACAAACCCATGAGGGTCCTGGAGACCCTTTCAGGGCTTGACAAAGTCAAAATTATTTTAGTAATAGTACTCAGACATTATTTGCCTTTTTGGCTACGTTGACATTTGCACTGATGGTACAAAATCAATGGTGGATTGACATCCTAGTATAAATTAAGGCAGTAGATCCAAGTAGTATGAACAATCACTGTTCTATTCACTGCCATCTTCTGTTTTTCTTTTTAAAAAAGCTAGTTTGAAATACTGTCCTCAATGACATAGTAAATTTAATATTTACTATATCCTCAATGTAATATTTACATTTACATGAGTAATTACAATATTATATGACAATATTAATACACATTAAATTTACTATTTAATATTAGTTAAATTAAATTTAATTAATTAAAATTAATTAAAACTTGGCCCTTGAATGTGACAAAATGGGAAAATTAAATTAATTAAAACTTGAGCCTTGAATGTGACAAAATGGGGCGTATGAACAAAATACTTCTGCATACCAAAGGATGGTGGTTGTCTCAAGGAAAATCACTTATTTATGCAATTGTTTGAGTTGTAAGCTGAATAGCTAGTTTTTAATACAGAATACCATTTTTACTTGAAAGAATGAAATAACTAATAAATTATTATTATTCAGACTTAGATGTTTGGTATACATTTTCTCAAAAATAAACAAAGTCTGTCAATTTAAGAAAAAACTATTTGTTGCTTTTTTGCCAGTAATACTATTTCTAGCTTTTTTCTTTTTTTTCTTTCTTTTTTTTTTTTTTTTTGAGACAGACTCTTGCTCTTTTGCCCCGGCTGGAGTGCAATGGTGCAATCTCGGCTCACTGCAGCCTCCACCTCTTGGGTTCAAGTGATTCTCCTGCCTCAGCCTCCCAAGCAGCTGGGACTACAGGCATGTACCACCACACCTGGCTAATTTTTGTGTTTTCAGTACAGACAGGGTTTTACCATGTTGGCCAGGCTGGTCTCGAACTCCTGACCTCAAGTGACCCGCCTGCCTCAGCCTCCCAAAGTGCTACGATTACAGATGTGAGCCACCACGCCCAGCCCAATTTCTAGCTTCAAAGCATAAATTAGAACTTAGAAAATGTCTATGTGCCACTATGAGCTTAAGAGCTTCCAGTACATTCCAGACTTTTTAGATGAGCTTGGTGATTATATTAATGAAGGTGACTTTTTGATATAATATAACAAAATATGTCAACTTTTGGAAGAATTTATATTTTCCAAATGACCAATATATGTGTTCCAAAATCATGCCTGGGTAAAAGATCCATTTGAAGTGCAAGACAGACCAATGGATTTTAAGGTGTGAGTATGGAATGGTCCTAGCCAGGGTTTTAGATTCAACATTTCAACTAACCTTTACTAAACTAAAAATTGTAAATTTTTGGTATGGTATCAAAGAACATCCACAATTATAAAAAAATGTGAACAATATAGTCCTTCCTTTTCTAACTATATATCTATATGAGGCTCAATTTGTTTATTCTTCAATCAGAACAACATATTACAAGACTTAATACAGAAGCAAATGTGAGAATCCAGCTATTTTCTATTAAGCGAGATATTAACATATATTTGAAAAAATGTAAAACAATGCCATTATTTTCAGATTTTCTTTGGTTGTGGAAAATATACTTATTTTTTCATAAAATATGTTGTTTATGTTAACATGTAAAGGCTTTACTATTTTTATTTCTAGCTAGATGGAGTTTCGTTCTCGTTGCCCAGGCTGGAGTGTAATGGCATGATCTTGGCTCACAGCAATCTCCGCCTCCCGTGTTCAAGCGAATCTCCTGCCTCAGCCTCCTGAGTACCTGGGATTACAGGCATGTGCCAACGCGCCTGGCTAATTCTGTATTTTTGGTAGAGACAGGGTTTTTCCACATTGGTCAGGCTGGTCTTGAACTCCCTACCTCAGATGATCCACCTGCCTTGGCCTCCCAAAGTGATGGGATTACAGCCACCATGCCTGGCCCTCAGAATTCCTAGTACAACAAATATTGTTAGATATAACCCACATAAACAGAAGTAATTTGGGGTCCTTAATAATTGTTAAAAGCATGAAGGGGTCTGGAGACCAGTATGTTTGAGAAATGCTGGATCTAACCAATAATGCAGAGAATATTATTGCTCAACACCCCCCAGATGAGGTAAATGTTCACAAAAGAAAACATATTTTTGTTCAGAGAATGTATTTTTGATCTCACTAATTCACTGGTTTCCAACCTTTTTGTTGTGTGTTGACGGTATGTGTAGAATCTATTTCTATAATGTCATTAATAGCTGAACATATTGTCATACCAATGTTGATATAATTTCAGCAAAAGCAAAGAAGCTTGATGTCTAGTATAGTCTTATTGATTTTGGTTAGGCTCTTAAAAATAGGAAAAAAATAATTTGCCGTCACCAGTTAGTGACTTGATTTAGGCTGGAAGTATGGCCATTTTATGAGCTTCTCCAGAGACTTGGGAACCCAGGTTTAGCCAATGACCTAGCCATATCACATAATCACCCTGGTGTTCACAAAGGAAAATAGTGACAATATTCAATACTTTGTAAAAACTAACACTACTAGGAAAACATCCCAGAGAAAATATTATGCTGATATAGAATCAGCAGTGCCATTTTTATAGGTAAAGGAATTCACACTGCCTTTCAGACTCATACATTAAAAACCCTGAGTTAAGAATATAACTTAACCAGAGCAATCTAAATTCTTTTGCTCAAAGGACAGTAAGAGAAACCTACAAAGAAGTAATAATTACATATTTTGTTTGAATATAGTATTAGACATTAGTGGATTAAAGGTATATATCCCTCATATAAAGATATTTCAATACATCTACATTTTAATTGTTGTATAAACTTTAGATATTGATAACTTCAATTAGATATTGATAGTATTTATATTTTCTTCCTAAGAGCAAAAAAAAAAAAAAAAAACACAACTTGCTGGTTATTCTAAGCACAAAATTCTTTGCTAACTTTTAAGGTACAGGAACATATGTGACTATAGACTATATTTACTTACTCAAAATCAAACTTCAGATGTTTAGGGAATAAAACGATAATAAAATTAGTGTTTAAAAATATTCTTCATTTTAATAACATCTAAAATGAATGGTAAATTGAAAGTTTGAAAAATTTTTATTTTTTGCTGTAATCATTATTTTCTGCCTTAAGCTTCTTGATTTCTTTTCCTTTCTTTCTTTTTTTTTTTTTTTCCTGGAGAGAGAGTTTTGTTCTGTTGCCCAGGATGGACTGCAGTGGCTTGATCTCATTTCACTGCAACCTCTGCCTCCCAGCTTCAAGCAATTCTCACACCTCAGCCTCCCAAGAAGCTGGGATTACAGGCATGTGCCACCACACCCGGCTAATTTTTTGTATTTTTAGTAGAGATGGGGTTTTGCCATGATGGCCAGGCAGGTCTCGAACTCCTGTCCTCAAGCAATCCACTGGCCTTAGCCTTCCAAAGTGCTGGGATTACAGGCGTGAGCCACTGTGCCCGGCCTTGATTTTATTTCTAAATAGAGATGCTGCTGTCCTTCATAATTGAAAATCAGCACTCATCTAAGCTATGAATCATGCTCACTTTAAAAGAGAATTTATCAATTACAGAATTATTCTTCCAGCAAATCATTTTTAGAAGACTATCATTATTTTAGAACTTGAGTCTAGATATTGTCTATACTTCTTTAAATATAATTTATGTACTATTTGACTTAGGCACTATTTTACTCAGGACAATGAAAGTCAAATATCCCAACTTTGTTCTTGAAAGATACTTCACTGTCATAAAGCAAGAGGAGTGAAAATTATTCCTCATTTCAGTCAGATTTCATTAAAAGAAAATATATGATATAAAAGAGAAATGACTTTTCCCTATATACGATATAATTTCAGCAAACAAATTTGCTGGAGAAAATATAATCTATGAAGAATTGTTAAGAAAAGATAATACATGGTTATCTTCATTAGGTTGTAATGAGGGTACCAAAAAAAACAAAAAGAAATCAAGACCTGGTATAGTTTTATAGATTTTGTTCTCACTATAGCTGGAGAATCTTAAACGGTCAATATATAATTTAGGATGTTATACTGCAATATATCTATATATTGGTTAAGTGCTTCTGGTAGCTATTTCCATAATATTATGTATTCTTGATAATCAATTCTAGAATTTATTATGCTTTATTTTAATTTTTAGTTGTCTGATCTATTTGTAGAAGTTGGAACAATGTCTACTTGCTCACTGTTGCTATTCTACTACCAGGCAAAGACTTATTTAATGAGTTAATAAACACTGTTGTAGAGGTAAGGATGGTCAGTCAAATAATAGACACAAAACTCAGTAAAGTTAAGTAACTTGCTTAATTTACTGTGGTTATGAGGTAGAGAAAAAAGCATTTCCATCCAGATCTTCTATTATCAAGTCAAGTGCTCTTTCTAGTACCGATCATTCAAAACTATATTGTATTTCTGATGTAGACAAAATACGTTTGCACATACATTTCTGTGCATGAAAATCTGTGCATGCCGAATTTGAAATGTAGAAAGGATTTCTATGGGATTTGGCTAACACTAATATGTACTAAGTTATAAATATCATAACCAAGATGCAGTAAAAATAAGAATTTCAAACTCAAATTGTATTTCCAATTTTGTGCTGGATATCACTCCTTGGTTGTCTCACATATGCCTCAGATTAAACACATTCCCAATCAAGATGCATTAAACTCTTTTCTTTTACCCTCAAGACTTGGTACTTCTCTTTTATTCCTTGGTATAGTTAATAACATTATTGTCTACCCAGTATCTCAAATTTGAAACCCCGAAATTGCTTTTGGACTTCTCGGCCCCAAATTTTTATGCTAAAAAATTAAAATAAATTTTAATTTTTTATTAAACAGAGCTCGGTGCTAAAATCTATGGTCTTGATATTTGACTCAGTGGGGAAAGGCAAAAAGATTCATTATTTTAAATAAAAAAGAACAGATATTTGAAATTGGCTGTTGACATCACTGAATTAGACTATTCACATACTAATGAAGTTTTAGTGTAAGAGTTCTTGATTGGTGACACCTGCCTTTAAAGTGGTCATTATTGATCAATATAATTCCTAAAACCTCCACATAGCACAAAAGCTCACATTTGGTTTTCATTCATTCTTCACGCCCCTGGTGAAATGTTAGGTCTTCTCTACTCACCCTATCTAAATGAAGTTCCCCTGCTATTATTTTCTACTACCATAACATTTTCATTTCTTCTTAGCATGCATTGTATTTAAATTATAATTATTAAATTAATATGAAATTATAATTATTAAAGTTATTATCTACCTGTTTATTTTACATGTTGAGCATCCCTATCTGAAAATCTGAAATCTGAGACTTTTTTAGCACAAAGGAAATGTTCACTGGAGTATTTTGGATTTCTGATTAGGGATGTTCAACTGGTTTAAGTATCTGCAAATATTCCAAAATCTGAAAAAATCTGAAATCTGAAACACTTCTGGTCCCAAGCATTTGGATTAGGGATACTCAACCTGTAATATATGACTAAATTGTAAACTCCATGAAGACAAGGAGTATATTTGTCACTGATATTAAAGCACTTATAAAAGCACCTAGTTTAGATTCTCTTAAGCAGTCTTATGATTTATGAGACCTTTCTTACTAGAAAGACAAATTTCACTTCCTTCTGTCCTTTAATTTATTTTTTAAACGTTATTTCCAGATGCCTAATTGGAATAGACTAACTCCTTTTAAAATATCAACATTCAAACTAGTTTCTTTTATTATATTAATATTCTAATTCAGCATTTCAAGTGTATATTAAAAATTACACCAGAGTGATAACTTTATCTTTGAGGTATACATTCTAGTGCTGATCAAAATTATTCAAAAGAAATATAATCTTATTCCTAGAAAAAGATATAATGCTTTTATGAATTCACTGTCAATTTGAACATCTAAGTGTTAACTAAGGAAAAAATATCAAGACAAGCCACTTGCTCTCCTAAAGTTCTGCAATAAGCAAATTAATTTGACGAATATTAACATTATTATTTTTCAGAATTTTACTTTGGTGAATTTGGAAGTACCAAGTGATTTTTCAAATTTTATTTAATATCCTCTTTGTAACTAAAATATAATTACAAAGTTATAAAAATACTCAAGAACTACTATGTATAATTAAATTTAGCATAAAATATTTTCAAAAAATATTTATGATTTCAGCATATTATTAAGGAAAAGCAACTATGCCTTGAATAGTTCTGAATTCCCAACTTTTAGGTCTTAATATTCAGTGAACAAAACATCTTATAGTGAACTTAACTTTTAGTTTTAAATATTTTCTAGACTTTACAAGTGAGTTTAGCTGGTACAACTGGATTTTAATGCAGTCAAACTGTAAGTTACTTTGTTTTAATAATATAAAAGATATAGATGAGATTCTTCCATCTAATTCAGGTTTTAAGAATTCCTTGCTTTTATGCATTTGAAAATGTAGCTTACTGGCACCCAAATGGCACTGGCATACATTTAATGTCTACAATGTTCTTATAGTTTATCTTTATTGAAGATTCAGGACCTCAGTTTTTTAAATGATAAAATTAATATCAGTTTTTTTGACATATATCTAAAAATAATGATATACAACAGTAACACTGGAAACATTGCTGAGAAGATTGTAACAAGTAATGTAAAACAAACTGCACTATTCACATCAGAAACTGAGATCCCTTCTAGTCAAATTAAATTATAACATTCACAAAACTGATAGAAAAGATGGAATTGAGGAAGACAGCTATACAGGTCCTTAAATTTGATGACAGAGAAAAAACTATAATTTGAAAAATTAACTGTCAGAATCCTAAAACAAATTTAGTGTCTAACATCATGTCTTATTAAATAATAAGGAATGTTACTGTTAATCTTTTGATACCAATATTGCATCCATCACATAGAGAACTTGAAAGCACAAATGACTAACTTAATCAGGCAAGGAGCATTCCAGGAGAAAGTAGTCACAGCAGTAATAATGTCTGCTAGTTAATTTATCATGTATACAAAGATGTGAACAGCATATAAGTGTCTCATCCTTTCCTCACCCTATACAATTCAGTGACAGATTATAAAAAAAAAGACTAAGAAACTTCTACCCTCTTCCCAAAGGTTGGCATTAAAACTTTCTTTCTAATAAATTTAGATTTGTTTGCAAATATTAGGCAGCAACATTCCAAGATGAATGTTTGAAAAAATTTGGAATGATACTAGAGCAGGGAGCTACCCCAGCCCGGACAAGTTTAAAGAAATCCCTTTGGTGACACAATTTTGTTAATCTTGCTGTTTACTGGCCAAAAGTACATTTATCCTCGGCATAAACAAATAACTTTACATCTATAATGTTAAGTATACTAAAAAATAACAAATCTACAACAAAGAAACAGGAGCTACAGAAAGTAATACCCTTAGCTATGATGTAGGAGTAAGACATTTTGAATGAAATCTGTATTGTCCTACTAGTGGCCTAATATGACAATTTGTGACACAATGGGTGGGAACTATCTTACACTTTATTCATTTTTCACAGTGTAATCTTGCATGCAATCCAACCTTGACAAGCAGGAGGAAATATTGGTTAGTTTTCCCAGATTACTATAGAAGAGCAGGTGTAAGATGCGAAGGAACCATACTTACTTTTGGTGTTGGGCAGGAAGCTGTAGAGAGGCGAGATGTAGCCTGAGCACGAGGCGATTCTGAAGGAGTAGTGCTGAGGGAGGCTGTGTCTCGTGGGAGCACCTGAACACCACGAGAAATGATGGAGTCTGGAATCTGAACAAGGGGAACAACTATGGTTTAATATTCTGAAAATGTCAATAACATGTAGAATCAAGACCCCCTTTGTTTTAGCATTCTTTGCTGCTCAGCTCTGACATATTTGGTGTCACTTACTGTTAGGTATAAATGCATCCAACAACTTGAGATAGAATAGAAACTTTCAGATTTAAAGTATTTTCCCTGGCAAGTACCATTTCATAAAACTTTTTAATATGAGAGGCAGTATAGTATTGTGGTTAGGAATAAAGGATTGGTCATTCATATACTTGCTATGCCATTTAATAGTTTGAAATCTTGAGCAAGCTATTTAATTCCTATATATTTTCCATTTCCTTTTCAGATCAGTCTCCAACCATTTTCACCCTCTCTTCTCTAAGCTGACCTGTATGCACACCATCAACAAATTATTTTCTGCCCTGGCTTCCAGCTGGGTTCAGTCAGTGAAAGGCACTGGCAGAAGACTGAGTTGGGATAGGGTAAGATCTGGCATTTATTCTCCTAGCTCCCTCTCTACCAGATCATCAAAGGTTGGCTGTGTCACTCAACTCAAGATCATAGCTCATGTCAGACTGCCCTTCTGGCTTATAGCTCTTTCTCTAGATTCTAATAGCACTCCTTCCCTTTGCCCCATTAGGTAGAAGCATTAATGGTTCCCACTGTTACTAATCCCAGGCATTCCATGATGTCTTGTGGTTTTCCCTAAATTCTGTCCAAACCTTTGTACATCCTATAGGTTCTTATTGAACTCTCCTCAATTACCTATTTAAGCATGCTATCTGACGTCTGCTAGGATCCTGATGGATATACCTTTTGAATTGCTACTTCCTTTATCTGAAAATTGAGGACAACAATAGAATCTGCTTCACTGGAATACTGCAAGGGTTAAGTAAAATAATGTGTGTAGATTATTTAGCACTTTCAAGTGGTAAATATTTAATGTGTTGGTTATTATTACTGTTATTATTATACTTATCAACATAGTAAAGACTAATGTAATTATCATTATTCTAAAAATATACAAACATAAAGACTAATACTGTAGATTATTTTTAACATTATTAATATATGTTGATTATAAATTTATTACTTTAGGCCTTGCATAATTTAGTTCATGTTCTGGGCTACCAGTAACGGGCATACGTCTTCTAAGAATGGGAACATGAGGACTTTCAAATTTTGCACGCAAGACTTGAAACATATGATAAAAAGACAAGCAATTAACATTTAATCAACAAATATCACTTACTATGTGAAAAGAAGAAACAGCCAGACTTTGTGACTACAAGGTATTCCTAATATTATGCATCATTTCTGCCTCACAAAACTAATGCTATTTCTATAGAAGCTCCTTTATTTAGTTTCTATACCAACATCCTTAATTCCAAAGATATTGCCACCATTTCAGTGTTTGAAATTTTATATGGTTTATAAACAATATAGTCATAAATAGTATGAAAAGCAGTAGGAATTTTGAGAAGCAAGACGACTCCATTTGCTAACATATTTGAGTACTGAATTGTCATAAATATTTCCAAGAAATAAAGTCTAATTTTGAAGAGCTATTTGTTGCCACTTATCCAATTAAAAAGGCCATGTATTTAAAAGAAGGTCAAATACCCATTTTATACTTCATATGACATCACATCCCTCTCCTTCATAGCAATGACCATACTTACAGAAAGTATCACAACATTTATACGTGTGATACTTTGATCAATGTCTGTCTCCCATATGAGAATGCACTGTCATGATGGAACTGTTTTGCTACTATTTTATGTCCAATATCTAATGAAGCAACTGCACGAATAATGTCTCTGTGTGTGTGATATATATCTCCAGACTTATACACATAACTGCATATATACACTACATATCTCTGTGTGTATATATGCCTCAATGTAAATTAAAAATCAGGATACTCGAGAGAGAAGATAAGTTTAAATTTTGTGGCTAGGTACTTTCGGGCTACTAATCTGGAGCTATTTGATGAGGTATATGAGTCTGGAACTCAGGAAAAAGTTAGGACATATAATTTGGGAATTATCAATGGAGGTAGTAATTTGAGTCATTCAAATGTGTCAGATCACCTGCAGAGAATATGTGAAAGAACAAAAGACGATGGCTGACAATTTGAGGTAACATTCATATTAAAAGTTAACAAAAGAAAACAAACTGAAGGGAGATAAGATCTCTAAGATAAGGATGTATGGGGTAACCATACATCTGATTTTTCCTTGAACAATCTAGGATTATACCTATTATGCTGGCTTAATTATCAAACAGCACCTCTTTTCATTTTCAAAAGCATTCTGGTTTGGAAGATAAATTATTTGGTGTTCTTATCATAAGAAATTATTAGAGAAAAAAGAGGCAAATCGAGATGGGTGAGTATCAAGGCAATGGAAAAAAGAAGAAAGTTGCAAGATTAAAAAAAAGCAAATATGGGAGAGAATAGGAATAGAGAGAGAGAGCTGAAAAGAAGCCATTACATCCAGTTATTAAAGAAATTACCAGTTAAGTAAAAAGAGTAGATACAAATGGAGGAATTGAGTAGGCATGATAAAGCAAAGTAAATTGTGGGTAAAAGACACAGATATTTATTACTACTATTTTTTTGGTGCTTGCAGGAGAGGCCTTATTGATGAGAATAAGGGGAAGTAAAAGTGATAAAGATGACTTTAGGAGAGTGGTAAAATTCTCAAAAAATGCATTGATGAATGAAAATGATGGGTAAGGCAAAAGAATTTTCAATTACCATTGTGGATCCAGTTAATATCAGTAAACATAAATTTACAATTTCATTACATAGTCTAGAACAAATCTTTGCCCCAATCTTAAAAAAAAAAACAAAAACTGCCTATGCTGGAGATACAGACTTAGAAATTATTGCAGATATACAGTTGTTGAAGTTACAGAAATAAATGAGATTCTAAAGATGAAGAACATAGAAGAATATGTCAACACAGATACTAGAAAAAGGGTGAAGAATTAGATTATGAAGAACAGGATGGTAGTAATTAGTTACCTGAAAGAAAATTTCATTATTTGATGAAGACAGAACCTGATTACAAGGGGTCAAGAAAAAAACTGGAGGTAAGGAAAAGGAGTCAGTGAATATAGATTACTCTGTTGATAGACAACTGCATTGTTTTCATTTTGAGGACATTATGAAAAATGCCACTGTGAACCCATGGGTGTTATGATACCCATGTGAGTAAATTTCTGGGAGATATGTGTATATATATATATATATATATATATATATATATATATATATATATATACACATTCAGGGATAGAATGGTTGGTTATAGGGTATGAATACCTTCTTTAAAAAATTTCTAAGTTGGTTAAGCCAATCTATACATCTGTCCACAAAGAATAGTAACAGTTTCTCTTATTCTACAACTCAGTTCCACCCAGCATTGTTGGTATTATTCATTTAAAAAAATTTGGTTGGTGTGTAACAATATTGCATTATGGTTTTATTTTCCCTTTCTCTGATTCTTAGTGAGAGTGAGCACTTTTTCATACATTCCTCAGTCATTTAGATTTTTTCTCGTGAAGTCCCCGTTCAAATCCTTGCCCATTTTTTCCCTTATTTGGTTGTTCTTTTCTTATTAAATTGTTAGATTTTAGTATTTATTCTGGATAACTAGTCTTTTAGCAGTTGTATCTAGTGTGAATATCTATTCCTACTCTGTAGCTTGTCTTTTACCTTACTTTATCATGTCTATTGATGAACGAAATCTTTTAATTTTAATGTTGCTAAATATATCAATATTTTCCTTTATGGTTAGTGGTTTTTGTGTCTTAAAAGGAATCCTTCCTGGGTGACATCAGTGAAAACAGCAGAGTAGAGAAATCCAAAATTCCATCACTCTACTAAAGCAGAAAATAAATTGGCAAAAACAGGCAGAATAAACTTTACCAGAACTCTGAAAATGAATAAAATGTTTACAACCAGGTAAATGGGTAATCAAGAAAAATAGACAAAAAAGGTGGCCTTGAAGACAACAGTCCACATTTCCAATACAGGTCTGTAGTACCAGAAGGAAAACAAACCTTATTCTGAAAGAATTGTGGTTTTTTTGTGTTGAAATATCTTATGGCTTATTGAAGGACACACTCAAAGGGCCTGCCTTTATTTCACTTAACTCAGAATATTCCCAGGGTTGAGGCAGCTATTCATTGGGTAATGTTTGTTCAAATATTTAAAGGCAAATGTATTAGCCACTGTCATCTGGGCATGGAAAAACAGGACAAACAATAGATAAAGTGAAAAACCTGGGAGTGAGGGTTATGGAATGAGGTACTTTAAGGCATAAGGACTCTGAAAAGCTCCCATGTATCCTTTGGACTCTAAAAGGTCAGGTTTATGCCCAGGGCTGGGCACACCCTCAGAAAAGACCTGAGAAGGTTCTATTCTCTCACTTGTGGATAAATTTGAGACTCTATACCAGCAGGAAGTGAAAACTAATGAAGAGCTGTAAATTGCCTGGCTGAGTGTTGAAGTGTGACCTAACATATACAAAGAGCTCATCTGCAAAAACTGGGAGATTTTCTCTGATTTGTTTGTTTTGTTTTTATTATTAATTTTTTGGTTCTAGGTATTTAAGGAAATACCTGTCAAATCACTAGCTGACCACTAAGCAAACAACAGAAACATCAGAGGTTATGCACAACAAAGAAATACAAGCTTGAAAAAAGTATTTCAAAAAATGAATAACAAACAAATAACTACTACTGCTGAAAAAGCAGCAACAAAAAGCCCCAGGGAGAGGGGAGAATCTAATTTCCAGAGTTGCCACTTATAATATTTAAATGTCAAGTTTTCAACAAAAAATTATGAAGCATGCAAAGAAATAAGAAAGTATAACCTGTACACAGGGAAAAAAAAAAAGAAAAGAAAAAAGAAATGAACGGAAACTGTCTCTGAGAAAGCTCAGACACTGAGCTGACTAGACAAAGATTTTAAATTAATTATTTTAATAAAGTTTAGCTGAAAGAGCTAAAGGAAACTATAAACAAAGAACTAAAGGCAAGAACAAGAATGATGCCTCACCAACTGGGAATCTCAATAAAAAGACAAATATCATAAAAAGAAACCAAATACAAATTCTAACACCGAAAATTACAACGGAAATGAAAAATTCACTAGTGGGACTCAACAGCAGATGTGAGCTGAAAATAAGGTGATTAACATTATCTAGTCTGAGGATCAGAAAGAAAAAAAATAAAGGAAAATAACAACATGGCTTAAATAAAGGAAAATAACAACATGGCTTAAGCAACCTGTGGAATACCATCAAACACACTGAGATATGATTAATGGTGGTCCCAGAAGGAGAGGAGAGAAAGAAGCAAAGAGATTATTTGAGGAAACAATGCCTAAAAACTTCCCAAATTTGATGAAAGACATGAATGCACACAAGAAGTTCAACAATCCCAAGCAGGATAAACTAAAAAAGACTGACACGAAGATACATTATAATCAAATTGTTGAAAGTGACAAAGATGAAGAGAGAATTCTGATCCTCAATAAGATTTACAGCTGATTTTCAAAAGAAACCATGACAGTCAGAAAGCAGTGGAATGATATGGTCAAAATGTTGAAAGATGAAAAATCTGTCAACCAATAATTCTATATCTGATAAAACTAAACTTCAAAAACGAAGAAAAATTACAATATTCCCAGATAAACAAAAACTGAGTGAGTTCATTGCTCATAAATCTGCCCTACAAAAAAATTCTAAAGGGAGGTCTTCAGGCTGAAATAAAAAGAAACTAGATAGTAATTGTGACTGACATGAAGAAATACAGAACTCTACATAGGTAAACACAAAGGTCAGTATCTCACGTATATTTTTGTTTGTGAATCCTCTGACATGAAGAAATACAGAACTCTACATAGGTAAACACAAAGGTCAGTCGTATCTCACGTATATTTTTGTTTGTGAATCCTCTTTTCTGCCCCATATAATTAAAAAAACTACATAAAGCAATGATTATAGATCTATGTTGACAGGCATACAATATATTGATAGGTAATTTATGAAAATAATAACGTAAGTAGTGGACAAGGTATGAAGTTGTTGTATAATATTGAAACTAAGTTGGTATTAATTCAAACTACATTGTTATGAGCTAAGATGTTAATTGTAATTCCCAGGGAAACCACTAACACAATAACTAAATAATAGTTAGTAAAAGTAGCAAGGAGAATCAAAATGGTACACCAGAAAATATCTATACAGAAAAAAGGAAGTAATAGAGGAGATAAAAAACAAAAATGATATTATATAAAAATAGCAAAATGGAAGAAACCCTTCTTTATAGTAATTGCATTAAATGTACATAAACTATCCAATTCAAAGATGGAAACTGGCAGAATGAATTAAAAATACTATAATCCAACTAGAATCATGCATTGCATAATGGCATTTTGATAGACAACAGATGACACATACAACAGTGGTCCCATAATATTATAATACTATATTTTTCTGGTACCTTTTCTATGTTTAGATATGTTTCAAAACACAAATACTTACCATTATGTTACAGTTGCTTACAGTATTCATTACAGTAACATGCTGTACAGGTTTGCAGCCTAGGACTAGGAACAACAGGCTATACCATTTGGCTTAGGTGTGTAGTTGGTTATACCATCTAGGTTTGTGTAATTATACTCACTCTGTGACATTTGCATAAAAACAAAATCACTGAACAATGCATTTCTCAGAACATATCTCTGTTGTTAAGTGGAGTATGATTGTCTATGCTATCTACAAGAGATTCAAATTAGATCCAAAGACGCAAATAAATTGAAGGTGAAGGAATGGAAAAAGATATTCTATGGGAGCTGTAGCCAAAAGACAGCTAGAGAAGCTACAGTAATATCAGACAAAATCAACTTTGAAGCCAAAACTGTTATAAGAGACAAAAAAGACATTATATAATGATAAAAAGGTCAGTTAATCAAGAAGACATAACAATTATTAAAAAAATACATAAAGCAAAAACTGATAATAATGAAGAGAGAAAAACTTCAAAAATAAGAGTTGGAGACTGCAATATTCCACTTTTAATAATAGTTAGAATAACTAGTTAGATCAACAAGTACAATAGAACAGCGGTCCTCAATGTTTTGGGCACCAAGGAGTGTTTTTATGGAAGACAATTTTTCTACGGACTGGGGGTTGGTGGGGATGGTTTGGATAAAACTGTTCCACCTCAGATCATCAGGGATTAGTTAAATTCTCATAAGGAGCACACAACTTAGATCCCTTGCATTCATGCTCCTATGAGAATCTAATGTTGCCACTGATCTGAGAGGAGGTAGAGCTCAGCAGTAATGCTTGCTTGCCCGCTGCTGCTCACCTCCCACTGTGCGGACCGCTTCCTAACAGGTCATGGACTGGTATCAGTCCTTGGCCTGGGGCTTGGGGACCCCTTCAATAGAAGACCTGAACAACACTATAAACCAACTAGACCTAGCAGCCATATAGGAACACTGTATCTGATACCAGCAGAATACACATTTTTCTGAAGTGAACATGAGGATATACCATATATATTAGGCCACAAAATAGGTCTCACAAAATTTAAAAAGATTGAAACCTTACAGTGTATTTTTTCTGACCATAATGGAAGGAAATTAAAAATCAGTAACAGAAAGAAATTTGGGACCAGGTGCGGTGGCTCATGCCTGTAATCCCAACAATTTGGGAGGCCGAGGTGGGTGGATCACCTGAGGTCAGCTGCTCAAGACCAGCCTGGTCAACACGGCAAAACCCCATCTCTACTAAAAATACAAAAATTAACTGGGTGTGGTGACACACGCCTGTAATCCCAGCTACCTGGGAGGCTGAGGTAGGAGAATTGCTTGAACTCAGGAGGTGGAGGTTTCAGTGAGCCGAGATTGTGCCACTGCACTTCAGCCTAGGAGACAGAGCGAGACCCCATCTCAAAAAAAAAAAAAAAAAAAAAAAAAAGAAAGAAAGAAATTTGAGAAATTTACAAGTATGTGGAAATTAAACACTTTTTTTTTCTTTTTTTTTTATTATTATTATACTTTAAGTTTTAGGGTACATGTGCACATTGTGCAGGTTAGTTACATATGTATACATGTGCCATGCTGGTGCGCTGCACCCTCTATCTCGTCATCTAGCATTAGGTATATCTCCCAGTGCTATCCCTCCCCCCTCCCCCCACCCCACAACAGTCCCCAGAGTGTGATATTCCCCTTCCTGTGTCCATGTGATCTCATTGTTCAATTCCCACCTATGAGTGAGAATATGCGGTGTTTGGTTTTTTGTTCTTGCGATAGTTTACTGAGAATGATGATTTCCAATTTCATCCATATCCCTACAAAGGACATGAACTCATCATTTTTTATGGCTGCATAGTATTCCATGGTGTATATGTGCCACATTTTCTAAAAAACAAACAACCCCATCAAAAAGTGGGCAAAGGTCATGAACAGACACTTCTCAAAAGAAGACATTTATGCAGCCAAAAAACACATGAAAAAATGCTCATCATCACTGGCCATCAGAGAAATGCAAATCAAAACCACAATGAGATACCATCTCACACCAGTTAGAATGGCGATCATTAAAAAGTCAGGAAACAACAGGTGCTGGAGAGGATGTGGAGAAATAGGAACACTTTTACACTGTTGGTGGGACTGTAAACTAGTTCAACCATTGTGGAAGTCAGTGTGGCGATTCCTCAGGGATCTAGAACTGGAAATACCATTTGACCCAGCCATCCCATTACTGGGTGTATACCCAAAGGACTATAAATCATGCTGCTATAAACACATTTTTAAATAACCAATGGTGAAAGAGAAAATCATAAAGGAAATAAGAAAATAATTTGAGACAAATAAAAATGAAAACATAACATATGAAAATTCAAGTGATGCAGAGAAACAGTGTTCAGAGGGAAACTTATAGCTGTAAACATCTACTTTTAAAAAGAAGAAAGATTTCATATCAATACACTAATCTTCCACCCTAAGAAACTATAAAATAAAGTATAAACTAAACCCAAAGCAAACAAAAGAAAATAATAAGAATTATAGTGGAGATAAATGAAATAGAGAACACAAAAACATTGAAAGAATCAACAAAATCAAAGTTGGTCCTTTAAAAGTATCAACAAAATTACTGTGGCACTATTCACAATAGCAAAGACTTGGAACCAACCCAAATGTCCATCAATGATAGACTGGATTAAGAAAATGTGGCACATATACACCATGGAATACTATGCAGCCATAAAAAAAGGATGAGTTCATGTCCTTTGTAGGGACATGGATGAAGATGGAAACCATCATTCTCAGCAAACTATTGCAGGGACAAAAATCCAAACACCGCATGTTCTCACTCATAGGTGGGAACTGAACAATGAGAACACTTGGACACAGGAAGGGGAACATCACATACCATGGCCTGTCGTGGGGTGGGAGGAGGGGGGAGGGATAGCATTAGGAGATATATATACCTAATGTAAATGACGAGTTAATGGGTGCAGCACACCAACATGGCACATGTATACATATGTAACAAACCTGCATGTTGTGCACATGTACCCTAGAACTTAAAGTATAATAAAAAAATAAAAGTAATAACAAAACGAACAAATCTTTAAGTAGGCTGACAAAAAGAGAAAAAGATTCAAATTACTAAAATCAGGAATGAAAGTAGGAACATTGCTGTTGAGCTTACCGAAATGAAATGACTACCAGATGATTATTTCATAATAATTAAATACTAGGAACAACTGTATGCCAACAAGTTGCATGACCTAGATAAAACAGATAAATATTTAGAAACACAGACACTACCAAAACCAACTCAAGAAGAAATAGAAAATCTGAATAGAACCACTAAAAAGGTTGAATCAGTACATAAAAATACTTTCAACAAGGAAAAGCCCAGGACCAGATGGCCTCACTAGGGAATTCTATTAAATGTTTATAGAAGAATTAACAAAAATTATTTACCAACTCTTCTACAAAATATGAGGAGGGAACATTTCCTAGCTCATTTTAAGTGGCCAGTATTACCCTGACACTAAAGACAATGACATCATAAGAACAAAAAAACTACAGGCTAATATCCTTTATAAATATAGATGCAAGTATCCTTAACAAAATACTAGGAAACAACAAATATTATACTAAAACAATTATACATCAAGACCAAATGAGATTTATTCCAAAAATGTAAGAGTGGCTCACCATAAGATAAGAAGTCAGTGAAATACACCATGTTAACAGAATGAAGGGGAAAAAAACTTCACAAATGATCATCTCCGTTAATGTAGAACAAACATTTGATGCAATATGCTTTCAGGATAAAACACTTGGAAAACTAGGAATATAAGGCAACTTCCTGAATTTGATAGAGGCATCTAGACAAAACCCACAGCTAACATCCTCCTTAATAATGAGACTGAAAACTTCCCCTAAATTCAGGAAAAAGGATGTCTACTCAGGCCAATTCTACTTAACATTGTACTCAAAGTTCTAGCCAGGGAAATTCGGCAAGAAATAGAAATAAAAGGCTTCAAATTGGAAAGGACGTAGAACTATATTCACAGATGACATGGTTTTATATATATACATATTCCTGAAACATCCACAAAAAGAACAAGTAGAGCTAATAAACAAATTTAGCGAAGTTGTAGAATACATGAAGAACACACAAAAATCAGTTGTATTTCTATATACCAATACTGAAATGTTCAAAAATAAAATTAAGAAAACAAGTCCATTTACAATAGCATCAAAGAGAATAAAATATGCAGAGTAAATTTAACCAAGAAATTATAAAACCTGTATATCAAAAATTACAAAACATTGCTGAAAGAAATTAAAGGCAAATAAATAGAAAGACATATGTGTTAATGGAATGCAATACTTAATATTGTTAAGATGGTAATACTGCCCAAAGCTATCTACAGATTCAATGCAATCACTGTCAAATCCCACTGGTGTGTTTTGCAGAAACAGAAAAACCTATCCTGAAATTCATATGGAATCTCAAGGAACCTAATAGCTAAAACAATCTTGAAAAAGACAAAGAAAGTTAGAGGATTCATAATTCCTGCTTTCTTCCTTTTTTTTTTTTTTTTTGAGACCGAGTTTTGCTCTTGTTGCCCAGGCTCGCGTGCAATCGCACCGTCTTGGCTCACTGCAACCTCCGCCTCCTGGGTTCAAGTGATTCTCCTGTCTCAGCCTCCCAAGTAGCTGGGATTACAGGCACCCACCACTATGCCCAGCTAATTTTTTTGTATTTTTAGTAGGGACGGGGTTTCACCATTTTGGCCAGAGTGGTCTCAAACGCCTGACCTCAAGTGATCTGCCCACCTCGGCCTCCCAAAATACTGGGATTACAGGTGTGAGCCACCGTGTCAGGCTAATTCCTGCTTTCTAAACTTACTTCAAAGCTATGTAATCAAAACAGTGTGGTACTGGGATAAGGCAAACATAGGTTAATGGAATAGAATTGAGGGTCCAGAAATAAGCACTCCTAACTTTATACTTAATTGATTTGAGACAAGAGTGCCAAGGCAATTAACTGGAAAGGACATTCTTTCAATAAATTATGCTAGAACAACTGCATATCCATATGCAAAAGAATGAAGTTGAAGCCTTGCCTTACACCATACACAAAAATTAAGTCAAAATGGATCAAATACCTAATTGTATTATAAGAGCTCAACTATCAAATTCTAAGAAGAAAACATAAAGGTAAATCTTCACGACTTTGGTGATGGATTTTTAGATATGACACCAAAAGTACAAGCAACAACAGAAAAATTAGATTAACTGGACTTCATTAAACTTAAAAACTTTTGTGCAAAGGACATTATCAAGACAGTGAAAAGACAAAATACAGAAAGGGAGGAAATATTTGCAAATCATATCTCTGATAGAGTCCAGCATCCAGATAATATGTAAAGAACTCTAACAACTGAATAATAAAAAGACCAACAACCCGCTTGAAAATGGGCAAAAGGTGTGAATAAACATTTTTCCAAAGAAGCTACACAAATCATCAACAAGTATATGAAGAGATGTTCAGCATCCTTAGTCATTAGGGAAATGCAAATCAAAACCACAATGAGATGCCATTTCACACCCATTCAGATGATAAGAATTAAGAAAAAAAGAAGGCCCGGTGCAGTGGCTCACACCTGTAATCCCAGCACTTTAGGGGGCCGAGGCTGGAAGATCATGAGGTCAGGAGTTTGAGACCGGCCTGGCAAACATAGTGAAACCCCTTCTCTACTAAAAATACAAAAAATTAGTCAGGCGTGGTGCCGGGCACCTGTAATCCTAGCTACTTGAGAGGCTGAGGCAGGAGAATCACTTGAACCCGGGAGGCTGAGGTTGCAGTGAGCCGAGATTGGGCCACTGCACACCAGCCTGGGCGATAGTGCGAGACTCTGTCTCAAAAGCAAAAAAGAAGAAAAAAAGCAAATGCTGGCAGGGATATAGAGAAACTGGAACCCTCATACATTGCTGTTGGGTATGTAAAATGATGCAGCTCTATGGATAATAGTTTGGCACTTCCTTAAAAGTTAACATAGAATTATCATATTACAACAAATTCCACTCCTAGGTGTATATTCAAGAGAACTGAAAACAGGTGTTCAAATAAAAACATACATGAATGTGCATAACACCATTATTTTAATAATCAAAAAGTACACACAACCCAAATGACCATCAGCTAATAAATGGATAAACTAAATGCAGTATACCTTACAATGGAATATTGTGCAGCCATAAAAAGGAGTACTGATACATGCTACAACATGGATAACCTTGAAAATGTTGTTTATTTAGTGATAGAAGCTAGACATAAAGAGTTACATATTGTATGATTGCATTTATATGTTATGTCCAAAATAAGTAAACCTACAGAGACAGCCAATTAATGGTTGTCAGGGGCTGGGGGCAGAGGGAATGGAGAATAGACTGTTTAATGAGTAAGGTGTTTTTTTGGGAGCGGTGGTGATAAAATTTTCTGGAATTGGATAAAATAGTTGTACAACACTGTGAATGTAGTAAAAGTCACTGAATCACACACTTTAAAATGATTAGAATGGTGAATTTTATGTTATGTGAATTTTACTTCAATTCAATTAAAAAAGAAATCCTTTCTTAATCCAGCATAATAAAAACATTGTTCTGTAAAAATCTATAAAAGCTTTATAGTTTCCTCCTTCCTGTTTGGATCTCTAATACACCTGGAGTTGATTTTTGTATACTGTGAGATAGGGGGTCCAATTTCATTTATTTTCATATAAATAGCCTGTTGTCCCAGCATCATTTATTGAAAAAATAACTTCTCTATAATTCTGCACTATAAATTATCATACAATAAGTGACCATATGTGTGTTGGTGTGTTTTGGGCTTTAAATTCTGTTCCATTGGTCTAAATATTAATTCTGGCACCATTAAGAAGTTACTTTAATCGTATCATTATACTAAATCTTGATATTTGGTAGAGCAGGTCTTCCCACTTTGATCTTTTTCTTGTTCAACACTATTTTGGTTGTTTTTTTGCCCTTTGCAATTCTATCTATATAAATTTTAGAAGCAGCTTGCAAGTTTCTTTATCCCTTCCTTTTTTTTTTTTTTTTTGAGATGAAGTTTTGTTCTGTTGCCAGGCTGGAGTGCAGTGGTGCGATCTTGGCTTACTGCAACTTCCGCCTTCCAGGTTCAAGTGATTCCCCTGCTTCAGTCTTCTGAGTAGCTGGGACTACAGGCATGCACCACCATGCCCAGCTAATTTTTGTATTTTAGTAGAGACGGGGTTTCACCATGTTGGCCAGGATGGTCTTGATGTCCTGACCTTGTGATCTGCCTGCCTCGGCCCCCAAAGTGCTGGGTTTACAGGTGTTAGCCACTGTGCCTGGCCCTTTATCCCTTTCTTAATTAAACACACGCACACCACTTAAAAACTGTACTTTGGGAGGCCGAGGTGGGTGGATCACCTGAGGTCAGGAATTCGAGACCAGCCTGACCAACATGATGAAATCCCGTTTCTACTAAAAATACAAAAAATTAGCTGGGCATGGTGGCAGGTGCCTGTAATGCCAGCTACTCAGTAGGCTGAGGCAGGAGAATCGCTTGATCCTGAGAGGGGGAGGTTGCAGTTAGCCAAGACTGTGCCACTGCACTCTAGCCTGGGCAACAAGAGTGAAACTCCGTCTCAAAACAAACAAAACAACAACAAACAAACAAACAAAAACCTTAGGATTTTATTTCCTATGTTTTTACAGAAAAGTACAGAAAACTTTTGAAGGATACCCTTCAAAATGATAAAAATGTTTACTTTTGGGGGAGTGTGAGGGTAAATAAAAATGAATGAGAGGGTGGTTCAAAAAGGATATTAATCTTATCTATGTTTCATTTTCTTTTTTTAGTGAGTGTGTGCTCATGTGTTCTTGCCTAATTAAAACATTTCAGTAATGAAAACATGGTGGGGGACTGTTTCAGAAAATAAGTGGCCAACATACTCAACAACTAGGGAGAAACAAGGAATGAATACAGTGTCTCGTACATAGATGATATCTAATAATAAGGAAGTAGAAGCAGCCACTAACTGAGAATTACAAGCAGTTCTTTGAGATAGAAGGAATAGAGCAAAGTATTAATTCAGGAAAATTGTTTTAAATAGAAAGAACAAATAATTTAGCTCTGATGGCCTTTAATATAATAAGAAGAGGAGAAAATAGGGGAAATTGAGTCAAGAGCAAAGGTCTGAAAATTGCAATTTGGCAATGTATATAAGGTTGTCAGTAAGAGAGATGAACCAAAGGCTTGCCATGGAGTAGTGAGGATCTACCTTGAGCAAGTAGAATTTGTAGTGAGTTAAATCAGAACAAATGAGAAGGAAAAATGCCAAATCACAAAAGAAATAACATTCCTACTTTTAGAGAAGTAATCTATTTCTACTATCTTATGCAACTCATAGCATGGAGGAAACAATTTGTCCCAGATAATCTCAAACTTTCTTTAGATATGCAATGTAATTTTGACTGTGAATTATTAAATAACAGAATTTTCCTCATTAAGGAAAACTGTAATGGGAACACATAATTTTCCTAGGAACTGTGCTGATTCTTTATCTATGCTTTTTTTTTTTTTTTTTTTTTTTTTCCTGTCCTAAAGCTAATTTCACTGGTTGGGCAGGCACTTTTAAAAGAAGAAATGGAGAGTTACATTATAAAAATCAGAATACACAGTCAAAATATTGTTTCCCCTTTTGAATGCTGCAGTCCTTTGAAATGGCAGTATGAATGCCAATAAAGTAAACATACAAATTTATATTTGATGCCAAGAATATTCAAAAATGAGCACACATTTTCTCTTCTAATAATTATTTTTGCCACTTAAAATTTTATTTTAAAGAAAAGTTTAAACTTAAAGCAAAGTTGCAAGGCTGTACAATAGAAATTCTCTGTTATTTGAATTTAATGTTGGGTAGCTAGTGAGCAAATTTACAATAATCAGAGTGAGTCTCCCAAAGCACCTATGTACAAAGAAGTACAGCTTCAATAGCTACAATTTATCAGTCTCTATGGTGGAGGTTTTTGGATCCCTTGACCAGCTTGGTGGCCAAGTCCAAAATGTGCACCCTTTCTTTCCAACTTCTCTTTTTAGAGATCATTAAGGTAGGCTGCATTTTCTATAAATCCTATTTGAGATCCAGGTGTGTGATACAGCACCTGAACTAACAATAATGATTGATTACAGGCTGGGTGCAGTGACTCATACCTATAATCCCAGTACTTTGGGAGGTCAAGGCAGGCAGATCATGAGGTCAGGAGTTTGAGACCAGCCAGTTCGAGACCAGCCTGGCTAACATGGTGAGACCCTGTCTCTACTAAAAATACAAAAATCAGCTGCGTGTGATTGCATGTGCCTGTAATCCCAACTACTTGGGAGGCTGAGGCAAGAGAATCGCTTGAACCCAGGAGGTGAAAGTTGCGTGAGGTGAGATTGTGCCACTGCACTCCAGCCTGAGCCAGAGAGAAAAACTCTGTCTTAGAAAGAAAAACAAAAACAAGAACAAAAAAGATTGATTACATATAATACCTAAATGGGTTATATCAGAAAATATATATCACATGTCTTCTCAGAGCTTCTAATACTGATCCTTCAGAGGTTATAATTAAATGTTACAAAGTTTTATTAAAGAAAAAACTGTCCCTGTGCTCCCAGCTACTTAGGAGGCTGAGGCGGGAGGATTGCTTGAGCCCAGGAGGTGGAGGATACAGTGACTGTGCTGTTGCACTCCTGCCTGAGCAATAGAGTGAGACCCCATCTAAACAAACAAACAACCTCCCAAAACTTGTCAATGCAATGTATCTTGAGTTCATTAAGGTATTTGATAAGTCACGCATAAATGCCTTGTCGATAGAGAAAGTAGGTCTGTAGGTTTTGATGTGTTGAAATAGAAATATGCTAGTTAAGCAATTACAACCAGCAGGGTTTCTGGTAGTATGTGAAATGGCCTAGCCTAAAAAAAAGTTTTATCAGTGACTTGAATGAAAGCATGCTTAACATATTTGCTGGTGACAGAAACTACAAAAGACAAGTAATATACTAGACAGCTGATATAAATTTTAAAAAGACCTCTTAGTAGACTGATGGGCTGAATCCAACAAAATGAAATTTAACAAAAAATGTGAATACCTAAATTTAGATAAAAATTCATAATACAAAAATCTACAAAAATTCATGATTCATATTTATAATGAAAAACCACTTAGATGGCAAACATATGAAGTATGACTATCAAGAGATCTTTTTTATAAACTTAAAAATTTAAATATTCATATAAGCTTGTTTTTTTTTACAAGGAATATTTATACTTACTAAAGTTATTCTCTCATTGCTTTAAAAATTTCAGAATTTTTGTTGCTCTCAATGGTAGTAATCCATCCTTATTATTATTTGGTTTCCCGTGTAATTGCCTTTTAGGAAAACAAAAAGGTATACTCTTGCTGAAATCTGCATGCCAGTATTAATTTCTTATGGCACTTATAAAATGCATAGAAGAATGTTTTATGGTTAGCATTCAAAAATGATTCTCTATTATCATTATTATATTCATTTAATATATTTACTTAATATAGGAACAGAATATGGTGACTACTTGTCTATTTCATGAAAGTTTCTTTTTTCCTTTCTGTGAGATAGGCCTTGCTCTGTCATCCAGATTGGAGATCCATTGGTGTGATCACAGCTCACTGTAGTCTCAAACTCCTGGGCTCACACAATTCTCCCACCTCAGCCTCCCAAATAGCTAGGACAACAGGTGCACACCACCACATCCAGCTAAATTTACTTTTTGTAGAGACAGGGTTTCACTATGTTGCCCAGGCTGGTCTTGAACTCTTGGCCTCAAGCAATCCCTCCACCTCAGCCTCCCGAGTGGCTGAGATTACAGGTGTAAGCCACTGTGCCTGGCCATGGAACAATTCTTATACATCATGGGTATGGCGAAATATATCCCTTTTTAAAATGTCAGTCTTAAGAATTTAATTAATAGACATTGATTCCATCAAGACGAATGATGCATCATATGTTTTCATGGGATATATTTACCAAAATTTATATAGTCCATACTATGTGCCAACCTGTGCTAGGTGCTGGATAGACCATATGAATAAAAGAGATGTGACTCATGTCCTCATGGATCTTCCCACCTACAGTTCTAGAGATAAATTAAGTAAACACATGAATAAGTATATAATTGTAACTATAAGTGCTATAAAGGAAAATAACAAGGTGCAATGATAGAGAATAACTGCAGGCATAATTTAGGTGGGCAGTGTGGATCACAGAATTCCTTCTGTGAGAAAGAGATAAACCAGAACAGAAAGAATGCACAGGAGTTAGCCAGGTAAAGAGTAGGTTTAAGAACATTTTAAGTAATGGGGACAGCAAATTCCCTGAGGAAAGAAAAAGCTATATGGAGCTTAGTAAGCAATAAAGCACAAGAGAGAAATGGTAAGAGAAGAGCCTAGAAATCAGGGAGGAGCCAGATTATACAGAATTTAGCAGAACATGTCAAGGAGTTTTGGTAACAATGAATGTGATAAGAATCCATTGAAGGGTTCAAGTAGAGAAGTGACATTATTTACTTTATTTTAAAAAGTCGACTCTGGCTATGGGTTGAAGACTGAATTGAAGGGAGGCAAGGGTGGAAATGATGAGACCAGCCACTGAAATAATTAAGGTGAAAGATGATAGATGATAGTTGATTAGACCAAGTTGTTCCCTGGGAATTTATAATGCCAAGTGAATCTAGAAGAGTCACCAATAAGTCTCACAGGATTTCTTAAAATGGCATTTAGAGTAGCAGACTAGTTTTTTATCTATGAAAATACTAACAGTTATAATATACTTATAAAACTGGTTCACTTAAGAATATATTTTCTCAGCTGGGCACAGTGGCTCACGTCTGTAATCCGAGCACTTTGGGAGGCCCAGGTGGTCAGATCATGAGGTCAGGAGTTCGAGACCAGCCTGGCCAACATATGAAACCCCGTCTCTACTAATAATACAAAAATCTGCCAGGTGTGGTAGTGCGTGCTTGTAATCCCAGCTACTCAGGAGGCTGAGGCAGGAGAATCACTTGAACCCCGGAGGTGGAGTTTGCAGCGAGCCGAGATTGTGTCCTGCACTCCAGCCTGGGCAAAAAGAGTGAGACTCTGTGTCAAAAAAAGAAAAAATAAATGTGTTAACATATCAACAAAGTTCACTTAATTTTGATGGCTTTCTTGGCTGGTTTGGTGATTAATGCCTTTACCTAGGATCTACATCATCTGCCTAGATAGCAGAGATTCTGTGTCTTACCAGATTAATTTTCTCTCCTATATGTTAACTTTATTACGTATTTGGGTATTTAAGGAAAAAACCCCAAAGAACAAAAGTTCCTCACTTCTTAACAACTGTATTACCTTTCATGCTTTTAAAAAAAATATTTCATTATCATTTTGATTAGACAATCAAAAATTATTTCTCAAGTATCCATGGTCCTATTTAAATTACATGTCTAAGTTTCCTCTGATAACTCAAAATTTGATCCCAAACATAAAATAAATTAAAAAAAAATTTCAGGGAATGTAAAACTATTTTGTACTTATCTACAAAGTCCACAGGCCCAGAAAAAAAGAAAAAGAAATAAAACTATCTTTGACATTTCCCAGAAAGCCAATAGAAATCACAAAAGTTTGTTCTTTAAGCACAGATAAAGAGTTACAATATCAAAAGAGAAGCCCAGTCTTCCCTAGGTTATATGTCTATAGGGAAAATTTTATTAATGTAAACATATTAAAAATTGTATGCTTTGTATAAAGTCCCCAGAGAACTGTTAATGCTCTCCCTGTCCACACTGCTTTCTTTTACCTTTTTAAAACTGTGGTATTCAAGATTTGCCGTTTACAAATCTTCTTTGAGAAATGTCTATTCGAATCTTTTGCTCACTTTTGTTTTTATTTATTTATTTTTAATTTCAATAGGTTTTTTGGGGGAAGCAGGTGGTGTTTGATTACATGAATACTTTCTTTAGTAGTGATTTCTGAGATTCCGGTGTACCCATCACCTGAGCAGTGTACATTGTACACAGTGTGTAGTCTTTTATCACTCAACCCCCTCCCACACTTTCTTCCCCCAGTCCCCAAAGTCCACTGTATAATTCTTATGCCTTTGTATCCTCATACTGATAGATGCAGGAGGTAGATAAGGTGGAGGTTCCCTGGAGAATCTCCAACTGGCCTGCACACTGGGAGGATGGGGTGGAGCTATGGGAAGTTTAGAAGTTCGCACCATTTGCAGTGGGGAGGAGCCTGGGCTCTTCAGCTCGCATGTGTGGTGGCCTGCAATTCAATCTGTGAGGCGGGAAACCTGCTAGCAGGAATCTCTCTCACTTTGCTGAGGTTTCCTGTTTCCCTTTTTTTTTCACACAATAAATCCCGTTCTACTCATCCTATAATGTGTCCATGCAACTAAATTATCCCTGTTGTGTAACAAGAACGTGTTTTTTTTCTACAACATTTTTGGCGCCCAACATGGGGCTTGAGAAAAGGTAAGTACCAAGCAAGTCTAAAAATCTTTTTTCCTTTCACTTCTATGTCTCTTTCTCCTCAGACCTCTTTGGAGGGTAGAGGAAACTGTGCACCACCTCATCCCAACAGCTGCAGGCATGCGCAAGATGGACCACAGAATGGCAGCTCCTGCACTCCTCTCCCTGCCAGGGCTGGGATGCATGGCCCAAGGGTGCCTAATGGCAGGCTGGCCAATGCTCTCTGCATTGCATCTGTGGAGCCTTCCCCTCCCCAGGGAAAGGGGTTTCACTCTGTGGGAAAGTGATTAAGTTTTTCTCACTGGTGGAAGAACTTATTTGCATAAGAATACGAAGTTCTTCCCCAGGCATCTTTTTCTTTTCTCCACCCTATTAGCAGTTAATACAGCCCTGCATTTAAGCTGTCTTTTCCTTTTCTCCACAGGGTCAGGAATTTATTTTTAAGTGAGGGTTTGTTTTTCTTTTTTTCCTTTTGGAAGAGATTTTGCTGGACCAGGAATAATGGGGATCACTGTTTATATTCTCTGTAGAGTTTTACTTGTGAAAAAGGATTTGTTATTTTGGCCTTAAGCTGTAACCAATCTGGTGTGATTTGCATGACTTTCCATATGGTCAGTAGCAAACTTTGCTGCAGGCCTCCATCTTGTTTTATGTCCTTGGGAGCAAAGCCTGTAACCATGTGGCAATGTTTTGTTCTAGCCTCTGCCATTTTACAATGGTGGCCTGGGATTCAATGAGTCCTTTCCAGTTTGATATTTGTGTGACCTTTGCTAATTATTGATTCTCTTCCCCTCCATGAACCGCCTTGGATTTTCCTTTCTCTGAGTCTTTAGTAAAGTTTGAAAGCCAGAAATATTGGCCACTTGGCATCGCTAAAGTCGGGTAGTAAGGGAGTTAAAAGGAAATTCTTAAAAAGAGTGCTCGGCTTAATTAAAAGTGGATATTCAAATTATAGGTATATTTAAATGGCCTTTATGTTTTTCTTTTCTTGGATCTTGTTTTTCTGGAAAAAGGGTTTTTTTCTCAGTTGACTGAATTATTTTTCTCCGTTTGTCTTGCCACCCTCAATGCACACATGAAGGGGAAAGACCTCTATTTTCTTCATGGAACCCCAAGAATTAAAAGTGGATAGATCCCTCTGAAAATCTGTTTTTGCCCCATCTATGCCTGTTTATTAGGTTTTAGAAGCTGCATGTTTTCCTAGCCCTGTCTCTTAAAGGGCTATATCCAATAATCCAATTAGGAGATTGGTAAGCAAAAGATCTTATGGTGACTGGGTTTTCTTTTGCCTGTCTGTTTAGTTATATATGTGTTGTGTGTGTGATGCCTATAAAAAGAGCTCTAATTAACTGGCTTAAAGGAAGATAGTGCTTGGATCAAAAAAATTTTTAAAGGGATGATAAAAGTTGTGGTGCCTTTCAGTTCATGTGACTTTAATCTTTGAGAAATAAAAACAACCCTTAAAGAATATTGGTAAAAAGCAGATGTCATTAAAATATAAACAGGTGGACTAAACTATGCAGGTCAGGTGCTAGGTTTGCTAAATGTTTTAAGTTTATAAACTGCTTTTTGGGTTTAAAGAACTATTTGACTTGCCTGCTCCATAAATGGTAAGGCTAGGGACATGTAGTACTAACCGCATCTTTAATTAAGCTGGAAGGAGTTAAGCCTTGGCAGCACCTAGCACATAATGAAAACAACTTATCAGGTTTTACATTAAAGTAAAAAATTTCAAGGAGTTACCATTATAACATATAACTCAAACTACTGGAAATAAATTTACATGTGAGGCATGTAAGACTAATAAGATGTGTTTTTAGTAAAAGATTATAAAAAAGGCATAAAAATGTAAATTCTTGCCTAGTGTTAAAGGGTTGTTTTGAATTAGATAAAATAAAGCTCAAAGTTCAAACAAGTGGTAGAAGGACTGTAAAAATCTTGAAAAAAATTCCATGTGTAAACATATTGACTAAATTCAAAAAGGTATTATATGGTTTTTCAGTGAACTGAGCATTGAAATGAAAGCACAAGATACTCTTAAGGCACTAATCTGCTCTTTTGCAAAATTTGTAAAGGGTCATAATAAGTTTTTGCTTTTTTAAAGTATCTGAGTCATCATTTTGGCAAAATAAATAATTCATGGTAATCTGGAATTCTATTTCATAACAATAGTTGTTTTAAACCTCTAATATATTTAATAGGCTTCCCAAAATCAAACTTCAGTTTCAAAATTGTTTTTCCTGATACCTGGCTTTTTGAGTGCTACAGAGGTCCCCTGGGGCATCTAGAAAAGAAGTAAACAGGATTATTTGGCATATTTAGTTACATGGGATTGCCAAACGGTGTTTAATCTACTTTAGGATATATTTTGGGGAATAATACTAATATATGTCCCAAAATTGTAGGAAATTTCAAAAATTCTAATGTCTAAAGTATATGCTATCAATCATAATTAAGGTTGTTATGTCAAGTTATTATAAACCACAAAGATAACCAAACTTCTCTGTCAATGGTGATTCTAACTGTAACTACCCTGGACATTTTGTTATTCAGACAATTTTTGTTTTGTTTTGATCCTTTTCAAAAGATGGTTTATAATCACCTATAGGACTCTAACAGGTGCTCTCAAATGCAGGTTTCTAATAACTTTGGAGATAGTGACATTGGAATAAAGGAAAAACGTACAGGACTCATAAAGAAATAAAATGTTCATCAATATTAAGCAACACAAAAGTTAACTAAATGGGGCCAGGCGTGGTGGCTCACGCCTGTAATCCCAGCACTTTGGGAAGCTGAGGTGTGTGGATCACCTGAGGTATGGAGTTTGAGACCAGCCTGGCCAACCTGCTGAAACACTGTCTCTACTAAAAATACAAAAATTAGCTGGGTGTGGTGGCAGGCACCTGTAATCTCAGGTACTTGGGAGGCTGAGGCGGGAGAATCACTTGAACTTGGGAGGTGGAGGTTGCAGTGAGCCAAGATCATGCCATTGCACTCCAGCTTGGGTGAGAAGAGCAAAACTCTGTCTCAAAACAAACAAGTAAACAACAACACAAAGACTTAACTAAATGGACTAAATGCAGAAAACTGAAGCAATCTTTTTGAGTTTTTTGGAATATTGCTGATCCTTGTTTTATTTTTCAGATTCATGGAAACTGATTTTGAACTATTTACAGCCCTTAATAATCAAGTAAGGTATACTGTGAACAAAATTTGGAGAACGTGTGTTTCTCTCTGCCTGGTTTCTCTAGAATTTGGAAAGTATCTGTGAGTATTCTTAACTTCTGGCAATATAGTTGTTTGGATCAGTGCAATAAAAGTCCATTTTCTTTTGCAACAGGATGCAATTGGAGAAACAAGTTTTTTTTTTTTTTACCAAGGCTTTGACTGGAAGGGTGTGTTTCCCTTTCAGGAGTCAAGCTTGACTTGCAGAGCTCATAAAAGCCAATTGAGAAAACTGGCCTCATACCCTTGTCTACCCAGTCCCTGTATAGGGTTCCTGATCTGTGGTCAGTAAAGAATGTCTCTTTCTAACAGGCCCAGGATCTCCAAGTTTATCCTGGGACCTTAAGAGGAGAGGATCACCTAACTCACAGGTATTTGAGGCTACAAACCCATGGCTGGGCTTCACTTTAAAAGGTCTTATCTGAGATTCCTTGTGGAATAGAGTTCCATCAAAGCCAGTCTAAAAGGCCTATTTACAAATAGTTATTCTTGCTGTACTTTATGCAAATAATCAGGCTAAATATAAGACTAAGTCTATTTTGCAAACAACTCAGTCCTATCATGATTTTTTTTTTAATGAAAATAAGGACTGGAGAGAGAGAAATTATGTTTCACAATTTATACATTTGTCATTACATTCTAAACTCCTAGTTGTTTTTAAGTTGTAACCTACATTTTAGACTAACCCTGCATGTTCCAGCAATCTCCAGCTGTAGCTCAGAAAGAACAAAAGGGACAGGTGATGTAGAAATCTGGATCAATATTCTAGTTCTGAGCAATTAACCTGCAAATCCTGCCAGGTGATGGCAATAAATAGGATGCCCATCCAGGTTTCCTTTTTGGGAAAGTAAGACCAAGGGAGCTAACCAAAGCCAAGCACCATGCACCCAAATCTTAGCAAGCATGAATATAGCCAACAGTTATTTGGGCATGTCATGAGACATCCTTTTCTCTCCCTTGTTGGAGGAGGACTCAATTCCACAGCTTCACCTTAGCATTCAGCTTATGATAAGGAGTCCATGCAACTCCTCCCCACCCCAAGACACATTTTTGTCTCAAACTCAACTCCAAGCTATGGGTCAACGCCCTAGGAAAGAACACTAGATCTGAGGAATCCAGAGGCAGACGGTAATGGAAGTTAAAAGGCACAATGCAGGTGAGCATGACTGATTCCTGCCAGTTAAGCCAAGCTTCTTGTTTCATGAATAAAGGTTATGCTAGTATCCATCGCATAAATGGGGTCTGGGGAATTCAAGGCTACTGACAGCAGTGGAGATAGGGCATATGTGGTTAAAAGCTGATACCTCCCACCCCTTAGCTCCCCCTGTTAACATGGGTGAAAGCCACTTTAAAACCTATGGGTGGCACCCTGTTGCAGTCACTGGGATACAAGGATGGAGGAAAGAAAGAGGAACACCTCACTTTCCCTCCCTCACATACCTCGGGTATATGCTAGGAAGAAAAAGGAACCAGGGACACCTGCTCCCCTCTTTCTACATGAGTAGTCATTAATCTTCAGTCTGTATCCCTTTCAATTGCATCCTGAACCACTGGGACTCCTCTGAAAAAAAACAACAACAAAACGCCTTCTTTTTTTTTTTTCCTTTTTCCTTCCCTGTCCTCTCTTCACAGATAGGTAACTGTGTCTCCATACTATGGGACACTCCCTTTGGATACATCTTCCAAACTGAGAAGAGTTAATTTCCCAAACCTTAAACTGATTGGCTTAGGATTGAGCTCAGGGGACAGGAACCCAGAAGTCTGAAATGCTAGCAAAAGGGTAAAAGTTTTTCTTACCGGTCAAGCTTTTGGTCCCCCTTCTCCCTGTACAGACTGGTCAAAGGACACGAGATTTTTGAGCTGTCCTCACCTGCCCCTTGTTTCATTTTGATACAAGTTTTCTAATAACCTGGTTTCTCTCTTGTCACCTTCAGGCCATCAACCTCCAAACGGTCATGCAACTGGAGGCTTGGCCGATGGTCCCTTTTGTTGGGGACCCTTAGATAGGCCTCTGAAGGAGATGTGACTGCTGTTTACCAAAACAGTGCCCCTTACCAGCAGGAAGCAGTTAAGATTGGTATTCATCCTTATCCTTATTTTAACGGCAGTTAAATGTATGTCTTCAGAGGGGGAATGATAGATGCAGGAGGCAGATAAGGCAGAGGATCCCTGGAGAATCTCTGACTGGCACGGGGAGGATGGGGTGGAGTTACGGGAAGTTTGGAATCCCACACCATTTGCAGAGGGGAGGAGCCTGGGGTCTTCAGCTTGCGTGTGGGGTGGCCTGCAATTAAATCTGTGAGGCAGGAAACCTGCTAGCAGGATTCTCTCTTGCTTTGCCAGGAGTTCCAATTTCCCTTTTTTTTTCCTTTTCATCCAATAAATCCTGCCCTACTCACCCTACAATGTGTCCACATGCCTAAATTATTCTGGTCTTGTGACAAGAACCTGTTTTTTTTCTACAACAATCTTTGCTCATTTTTGAATCAGGTTGTTTTTCTGTTGAGTTTTAGGAGTTCTCTGTATATTCTGGATATTAATCTCTTATCAGGTATATAATTTGCAAATATTTTCTCCCATTCTGTGGACTGCCTTTTTCTCTGTTCATAGAATCTTTGGATGTGCAAAGATTTAAAATTCCCATGCAGTCTAATTTGTGTACTTTTTGCTGTTGTTGCCAGTGCCTTTGGTGTCATGTCCAAGAAAATCACTGCCAAATCCAATGTCATAAAGTTTTGACTCCAAGAGTTGTATTGTGGGTCTTAGCTTTAGGTCTCTGATCCATTTTGAATTAATTTTTGTATATGGTGTTAGATAAAAGTTCAAATTAATTCTTTTGCATGTGAATATCCAGTTTTCCCAGGACCATTTTTTGAAAAGACTGTCTTCCCCACTGAATGGTCTTGGTTCCCTGGTCAAAAATCATTTGACCATATTTGCAAGAGTTTTTAGTTTAAGGGGATACTGATCAAAACTCTTTTGAAATAGTTATCCCCCAGTGGAAAGAATTTTAACCTCTTGCATTTTGATATTATTGGTTACAATTAACAATAGTCTGTCATCTATGAACAAATTTTGATGTTTACCTGAAGATTATGCTTATTAAGCTATAGGCCAGAGTTTGTGTGTTCAACAGAGATAGTTTCAAAAGCTTCATGGAAAGAATTGTACCAAATACTTCAAAGTACTAATACTTGAAAGAATAGACTCATGAGTAGACTTCTGCTTGGACAACTTTTGGACCTAAACAGTGGACTGAGTTAGAATTTCTAAAACTCTCTCAGGCCAGAAGCAGAAAGTTTCATGAAAGCAGACTGCTAAGCCAAGGCTTATTTGAATAATAATTAATTATCACAGGACTGAATCAACACAGAATGAAAAAGGAATACAGAAGGAAATTTCTTTTCCTATTTGTTTGGAGTAGTATTGACACTGGTTGTTTTAAATGTTCTATTTTCTGGATACATGAGGAAGCTCTTTTTCTTCTTTTTAAGCTATATGTAACCCACACAATTTAGTAGACCCTGATTTCTTAAACTAATATGAAACATTTCAAAATAATATTTGATTCTGACTTCCTCCAAATTCAGAAACTCTTAGTAATTTCCTAACTTTTCTTGACAGTATAGTTATTTGCAATCCTAATAAGAATGTCTTCCTTTTAAACAGGATATAATTGTACAAACTGATTGTGCAACCAAGGCCTTACCTGGAGATATATTTGAGAATGATGGTCATCTAATCAAATATCACTACCACTTTGAAGAAAAAAATATTGGCTGTACTCCTGAAGCCAATGGTGACAATGCCCTCCCAGAGAAACCAACCTAGTACCTGGAGCAGAAGGTTTCAGCCTTTTATGTGGTAAGGAAGATCACTTACATGTGGGAATAAAATTTTGGTGACCTGGAGAAGAGAGGAACTTACCAAAATGATGATGATGGTGAAGTTTCTTGGGCATAGTTTACTAATCTTGGGTTGGCAAAAATAGAGACCTTTAAAAGTATTAAGTAATGGCAAAAACCGCAATTACTTTTTTAACAACCTAATAGAATCTGAGATTCCCTAAGAAAATTTCCAGACAAAAATTAATTTTGTGGTCTTCTTATTTGTAAAACAAACTTAAGGAGGATATCTGGTTAATTAATAATCTTGCGGCCAGGTGCGGTGGCTCATGCCTGTAATCCAGCACTTTGGGAGGCCGAAGCAGCCGGATCACAAGGTCAAGAGATGGAAACCATCCTGGCCAACATGGTGAAACCCTGTCTGTACTAAAAATACAAAAATTAGCTGGGTGTGGTGGCACATGCCTGTAATCCCACTACTTGGGAGGCTGAGGCAGAGGAATCACTTGAACCCGGGAAGTGGAGGTTGCAGTGAGCTGAGATTGTGCCACTGCGCTCCAGCCTGGCGACAGAAGGAGACTCAGTCTCAAAAAAAAAAAAAAATTGCTCCAGTTATGTAACGAATCAGCCCAAACCTAATGAGATCAAACACATTTTTTTGTGGTAAATAAAAACTATCTTAGAGGCCAGGCTCTGTGGCTCATGCCTGTAATGCTAACACTTTGGGAGGTTGAGGAGGGTGGATTGCTTGAATCCAGGAGTTTGAGACTAGCCTGGGCAACATGATGAAACCCTGTCTTTACAAAAAATACAAAAATTAGCTGGGCATGGTGCTGTGTGCCTGTAGTCCCCAGCTACTTGGGCAGCTGAAGCAGGATAATTGTTTGAGCCTAGAAGGTAGAGGCTGCAGTAAGCTGTGATTGTGCCACTGCACTCCGACATGGGTGACAGCAAGCTCCTGTCTGGAAAAAAAAATTATCTTCACGATTACTAAGATTACTAGAATGCCCTGACTTGTATATCCTTCTGAGTTATCTGTACTTTTCATTGTTTTACACGATTTTACAACTTTGCAAGTTGAAGAAAACTAATAATAATGTAAGTAATGATTCCTGTCCATAGAAATGCAAATAAGTTTAGTCCTGATCAGGAGCAACTACTCATTGGCCTGTATATCTTGCACAAATTTTCTATTTATAAATTCATTCCAGTCTTCATGACTGTTGACATATGTCTGTGTCCTTTCCATTCTTGTTTGAATTGGTGTAACAGCTTACTAGTTCTCTCATTATTTAATAAGTTAAATAAAATCTTTGGCACATATTTATTTTATACTTCTAAGTGTTATAACTCAACCTTTATAAAACTATCTTTTAACATGTATCATACTGTATTCTCCAAAGTATTTCATTATATTGATTTATCTATATATTCTTCTTACTCCACAGATGTTTATAGCTTAAAGCTTTTTTGCTTGGATCAGTAAACTTCCAGAGTAAACACATTCGACATTCGATTGTTTACAATTCTTAGATTGGGCAGTGCATCTTATCACTTAAGTATTTCAAACCATGGTAAAAAATCCCATTTCTTTCTCTTTCTTTTTTTTTTTGAGATGGAGTTTCTCGTCACCCAGGATAGAGTGCAATGGCACAATCTCTGCTCACTGTAACCTCTGCCTCCGGGGTTTAAGTGATTCTCCTGCCTCAGCCTCCCGAGTAGCTGGGATTACAGGTGCCCGCCACCACGCCTGGCTAATTTTTGTACTTTTAGTAGAGACGAGATTTCACTATGTTGGCTAGGCTGGACTCAAACTCCTGACCTCAGGTGATCCGCCCACCTCAGCCTTCCAAAGTGCTGGGATTACAGGCGTGAGCCACCGCACCTGGACCCCAATTCTCATTTTTGAGGAGAGTTTATAATTAGTTTGTCACCTCCCAAAATGTCTTCTTTTACTTTTTCTTTTATGAAAGGTGCTATAGCAGAGTAGTCAAGAATTCCCATCTTAGAATCAGACTGCCTAGACTTGAATACCAGTTCAGCCACTAAGTAGTTCCATGTTCTTAACTACCATGAGCTTCAGATTTCTTACAAGCAAAATGAGGATTTACGTAAAGAGCTGATATATATAAAATGCTTAGAGAATGATTGGTATTCAATTAATATAATTATTTTAATATCTCAAAATCCTCATGGATAAAAGGAAACAATAAAACTGTATATATATAGTTTTAATATATATGTATACATAAACACATGTATACGTGCACATAAACACATGTATACGTATACATGTATACATATAAACACATGTATACGTATACATAAACACACGTATACACATATATGTTAAGTGATTCTCCTGCCTCAGCCTCCCAAGTAGCTGGGATTATAGGTGCCAGCCACCATGCGGTGGTGTATACATGTATATGTACATGTTTGATAAACATAACATACAGCATGTTTGTTTTATATATATATAAAAACACACACATATACATATATATACATATACACATATATATATTCACACACACACATATATATATAATATATATACAAATGATATGGATAAAAATATTGTTTTTTCCGTATCATTTACCAAGAAGAAGTCACCAACTCTTTTTCTTCCCAGGGCAATCAGTAGATGTTCTTTCATACAATACAGCTTAGGGAGCATCATTATTGTTTTGGATTTCTCCAGAAGATTTAATTTCTGTCAGTGAAATGAGATTTCCTATTACAAATCTCCAAGGATAGCTTCCCTCTTTGTCTTAAATTCTTTCTTTGCCTGTTGTTAATATTATTACTTTGAGTTTTGAACCTATCAGTTGCCTTGAGGCTGCAAAGCATAAGTTGTCACCTTCAGATTTGGATCCAGTCTCTCTGAAAATATCTTCATTTATTTTATAAATACAGAGGAGCAGGATTTATTTTCATCCTCTTCCTCCTTTAAGTCACATTTTCCAACCCTCTATCCTCTTGAATCAGGTTTTTTTACTGAAATATGAAACTTCAGGGATTCCTATTTGATACATTTTAGTCATTATTAGGAAAATGTCTTATTTCTTTGATGATACAGTACTTATTCAGGTATATTATAATAGTTAAGATACTTTTTAGTTATGGACAACAGTTATCTCTATTAGCTTATTGGCTCATGTAACCAAAAAGTCAAGCAGTCTGTATAGTTCAAGAAGGGCTTGAATGAGTGGTTCACAAAATGTTACTGGGACCCAGTATCTCTTTTAAACTTCTGTTTCTCAGGATTGTTTCTTATGCTAGTTCCATCATAGCAGGCATTCCATTCACGGTCCCAAGACGTAATTCTTGGGGTTGTATATTTCCTCATTCATGTTCAGCAGGAAACAGAGAATCTGTGTCCCCCAGTAGTTAAATTAAAATATAAGAGATGAAATCCACTGGCTCTGACTGCTTTGAATTACATGATCCTTTAACTAATGACTGTGGCTAGGTGAAATGGGTATGTTGATTATACAGTATTAAGACAACCTACACTGGAGGTTTAATCAATTCCACCCAAACTACATGACTGGGAAATGTGGTACAGTGCTAGGAAGAGGGAATGGAAAATGACTGCTGGACAGACAACGAACAAATGTCAATTACAAGAGGAATTTCTTAAGTCTCTATCTCCTGAAATAGCAAGCTGATTAATTTTGCAATAAGTAGCAATGAGCTCATTAGTAACTACTGAACAGTCAGTACATTGACCAAGTTTCACTTTTTGATTACTAGAAGTAGATAACTGAGTTAGGAAGGTAAAGAAGTAATTTAAAAAAGCAACTCTTCAGCTAGGCTGTGAACTCTTTTTTTTTTTTTTTTTTTGAGACAGAGTCTTGCTCTGTCACCTGGGTTGAAGTGCAGTAGTATGATCACAGCTCACTGCAACCTCAACCTCCTGGGCTCAAGTGATTCTTCCACCTCAGCCTCCCAAGTAGCTGGGACTACAGGCATGTGCCACAACGTCTGGCTAATTTTTTATTTTTCAGTAGAGATGGGGTTTTGCCATGTTGCCCGGGTTGGTCTCAAACTCCTGGGTTTAAGACATCTGCCCACCTCAGCCTCCCAAAGTGCTGGTATTACAGGCATGAGAAACTGCACCCAGGCCCTAGACTGTGAACTTTTTATGGGCTGGAACAACCTGTTTATATTTGTATTCTGAGCAGTGAGGATAGTGTTTGGTACCTTGAAAGAATTCTGCAAATACTTAATTCTTAATTTACAAAGTTTATAAAAATTTCCTCATATATGTCATCTCCTGTACTAAAAATAATAATCTGTTGTGAGATACAGGATAATTATTATTTCCATTTTATAGATGAGAACTGAAGCTTAAATTTTAAGTAACTTGTCCGAATTATTAAGTGGTGAGGTAAGGGCTTATATCCAGGTTTTCCGTCTCTAAATACAAGATTTTAACATTATTCCACATTGCTTCACATGCCTCAGATTGTGACCAGCTGAGGGAAATTGTAATTTTTCTTTCTAATAGGTAATCAGGTGCTCCCTTTCAATATTAATTTTACATAGGTAAAACTTGTAAAAGTAAGCCAAATAGTATATATAGATATTCCAAATGACTGTTCTCACATAGAGGTCTTCTGACACACTGACAACACACCAGGTCATTCAGAACCAGTGGGACTCATTAATAAAGTTAGTGCTAGAGAAGCATTCAAAGTTAACATAACTTCTTCAGAAGCATCAAGGCCTTCTTTTCATTATTTTCTGTTACCTATTTCTTCCTTTTCATTCTACTGTATAGATAGATGCCCAGTCTGAAGAACAACATTATACTCTTTGATATGTTGTTAACTGTCATTTGTCACAGGAAACATAAACATGTGAGTCTACTTATAAAACTGAACATCTGTCAAAAGACCAATTACTATTTACAAAGGACTGTTAAATACCAGCTAATAAATAGTTAATCAATGAGAAAGTCTTCACTGATGCTATATGAGAACATCCAGTTAGAACAGTTTTACAATCATTCTCAACTAGTTCCTCCAAAGAATTAAACCCTAATAATTAACTTATCTCCTATGCATCTAGAATGGTATTAGTTGTGTACAATCCTTGGGAGAACTGAAAAATGGGTCACTCAAATAATTTTTGATGTACTAATCTTAACCTTAGCTCCTGGAGGGCATGTCTAGACTTGCCTTGGGCCAGAAAGGCATTCACTGTCCTGAAGGGAGAGATACAGGCCTCGCAGGACTCACCAGTGGTGACTAAAAAGCCCTTGGGCCTTGAATAAACATCAGTGGCAGCCAAGCGGTAGCTGCCCTGAGCCTAGAGTGATAATGGCCATAGGGAGAGACTTCTGCTTGAGGAAAGGAGAAGGAAAAGTAAAGAGGACTTTGTCTTGCAACCTGGTAAAATAAACACCAAGAAGATTCCTAAAGCCTCCCATCCCAGGCCCTAGCTCTTGGACGGCATTTCTAAACCCACCTTGGGCCAGAAGGGGACCTGCTGCACTGAAAAAAAAAAAAAAAAAAAAAAAAAAAAAAAAAAAACCTGGTCTTGGCAGGATTCCCCACCTGCTGACTAAAGATCCCTTGGTCTTTCAGTAAACACAAGCAGCAGCCAGAAAATAGTTGCCACAGGCCTTGGGCAAGACCCAGTACTGGGCTGGTTTTAGGAGTGACCCAACACAGTACCAGTGGTGGTGGCCACAAGAGTGCTTCCATTAACCCTTCCCCAACTCCAGGCAGTTCAGCATGAAGAGGGAGATTAAGTTTGTTTGGGGAAAAGTAAGGGAAAAGAACAAGACTCTGCCTGGTAATCTAGGGAATTCTCCTGGATCTTATTTAAGACCACCACGGCAGTACCTCTATAAGAGTCAGAGTACCTCTGCAAGACTCACAGCATTACTAGAGTTGGGGTGCCCCCTAATGCACATATGGCCTCAGTGACCAGACTTAGATCACAACATTTAATTCCCTTTGAGTATTTGGAAAGCCTTCCCAAGAAGGATGGGTACAAACAAGCCTAGACTTCAAAGATTAGAATAAATATTCAGATACTGATGAACAGCCACAAGCATGAAGACCATCCACAAAAGCATGGCTTTGCTAAATGAACTAAATAAGGCACCAGTGACCAAGTCTGTAGTAACAGAGATATGTGACCTTTTAGACAGAGAATTAGAAATAGTTGTTTTGAGGAAGCTCAACAAAATGAAAGATAACACAGAGAATGAACTCAGAATCATATCAGATAAATTTAACTAAGAGACTGAAATAATTAAAATCAATCAAGCAGAAATTCTGGAGCTGAAAACTGAATTGACAAACTGAAGAATATACCAGAGTCTTTCAACAGCATAACTGATTAAGCAGAAAAAAATTAGTAAGCTTGAAGACAGGCTATTTGAAAATACAGTCAGAATAGTCAAAAGAAAAAAGAATAAAAAATAATGAAGCACACCTATAGGATCTAGAAAATAGCCTCAAAGGGCAGTAAGAGGTATTGGCCTTAAAGAAAAGGTAGAGAGAGAGAGAGAGACTGAGATCAGGGTAGAAAGGTTATTCAAAGAGATATTAACAAAGATCTTTCAAAACATAGAGAAAGATATCAATATTCAAGTACACGAAGGCTACAGAACACTAAGCAGATTTACCCCAAAGAAGACCACCTCAAGACACTTAATAATCAAGCTCCCAAAGATCAAGGATAAAGAAAGGATCCTAAAAGCATCAAGAGAAAAATAACAGATAACATATAAAGGAGGTCCAATATGTCTGGCAGCAGATTTCTCAGTGGAAACCTTACAGGCTGGGAGAGAATGGCAAATTTTAAACTGCTGAAGGAAAAAAACTTTTATCCTACAAAATTATATCCTGTGAAAATGTCCTTCAAACATGAAGGAGAAATAAAGACCTTCCCAGATAAACAAAAGCTGAGGGGTTTCATCAACACCAGACCTATTTTACAAGAAATGCTAAAGGAAGTTCTTCACTCTGAAATAAAAGAATATTAAAGAGAAATAAGAAATCATCTGAAGGCCCCAAACTCTCTGGTAACAATAAATACACAGACAAACACAGAATATTATACACTGTTAAGTGTGATGTATAAATTACTCATCTCATATCTTGAGTAGGACAACTAAGAGATGATCTAAAAAATAATAACTATAGGCATGGTAGCTCATGCCTGTGATCTAGCACCTAGACAGGGCAAGGTGGGTGGATCGCTTGAGCCCAGGAGTTTGAGACAAGCCTGGGCAAAATAGTGAAACCCTGTCTTTACAAAAAATACAAAAATTAGTTGGTCATGGTGTTGCGTGCCTGTAGTCCCAGCTACTTGGGAGACTGAGATGTGAGGACTGATTTAGCCCAAGAGGCCAAGGCTACACTGAGCCGTGATTATACCATTACACTCCAGCCTGGGCAACACAGTGAGACCCTGTCTCAAAAAAAAAAAAAAAAAACCTACAACTTTTTGAGACATACTATTATAAAATATAGATAGAAAAAATAAAATGTTTAAAACTGGGGGGATGAATTTAAAGTGTAGAGTTTTTATCAGTTGTCTCTTTGCTCTTAACTCCTAGCAATCAAAGTTAAGTTGTCATTGGTTTAAAATAATGGGTTATAAGATAGTATTTGCAAGGCTCATGGTAACCTCAAACCAAAAAACTAACAATAGTTCCACAAAAAATATAAAGTAAGAAATTAAAACATATAACCAGAGAAAAACACTTTCACAAAAAGAAAGACAGGAAGGAAGGAAGAAAGAGAAGACCACAAAGAACTAGAAAAAAACAAAACAAAACAAATAATAAAATGGCAATAGTAAGTCCTTACTTATCAATAATAACACTGAATGTAAATGAACTTAACTCTCCAATCAAAAGACACAGAATGGCTGAATGGATTAGAAAACAAGACCTAACAATCTGTTGGTCACAAGAAACACACTTCACTTATAAAAACACACACAGACGGCCGGGCGCGGTGGCTCACGCCTGTAATCCCAGGACTTTGGGAGGCCGAGGCGGGCGGATCATGTGGTCAGGAGATCGAGACCATCTTGGCTAACACGGTGAAACCCCGTCTCTACTAAAAATACAAAAAATTAGCCGGGCGTGGTGGCGGGCGCCTGTAATCCCAGCTACTCAGGAGGCTGAGGCAGGAGAATGGCGTGAACCCGGGAGGCAGAGACTGCAGTGAGCCAAGATAGCGCCACTGCAGTCCGGCCTGGGCGAAAGAGTGACACTCCATCTCAAAAAAGAAAAAAAGAAAAAAAAAAAGCACACACAGACTGAGAATAAAGGGATGGAAAAAGATATACCATGCAAGTGGAAACCCAAAAAGAGTAGCAGTAGCTATACTTAGATCAGAAAAAATAGATTTTAAGACAAACACTATAAAAAGAGACAAGGAAGGTCATTTTATAATGATAAAGGAATCAATTCAGCAAGAGGATATGACAATTGTAAACATATATGCAACCAACACCAGAGCATCCAGACATATAAAACAAATATTATTATATTATTAGAACTAAAGAGAGAGACAGACCCTAATATGCCAATAGCTGGAGACTTCAACACCCCACTTTAAACATTGGACAGATTCTCCAGACAGAAAATTAATAAAGAAACATTGAGGCTGGGCGTGGTAGCTCAGGCCTGTAATTCCAGCACTTTGGGAGGCGGATCGCTTGAGGTCCAGGAGTTCGAGATCAGCCTGGCCAACATGGTGAAACCCCCTCTCTACTAAACACAAAAATTAGCTGGGCACGGTGGCGCGTGCCTGTAATCCCAGCTACTCGGGAAGCTGAAGCAGGAGAATCGCTTGAACCTTGGAGGTAGAGGTTGCAGTGAGCTGAGAATGCCCCACTGTACTCTAGCTTGGGCAACAAAGCAAGACTCTATCTTAAAAAAAAAAAAAAAAAAAGAAACATTGGACTTAATCTCTATTACAGATCAAATAGATCTAATAGATACTTATGGAATATTTCATCCAATGGCTGCAGAATACACATTCTTCTCCTCAGCACACGAATCATTCTCAAGGACAGACGATATGTTAGGCCACAAAACAAGTCTTTAAAAAAACTGAAATCATATGTATCTTATCTAACCCACAACAGCATAAAACTAGAAATCAATAAAAAAAACTTTGGAAATGATACAAACATACGGAAATTAAACAATATGCTCCTGAAAGACCAGTGGGTCACTGAAGACATTAAGAAGCAAATTAATAATGTCTTGAAGCAAATGAATATGGAAACACAAAACACCAAAACCTATGGGATAGGCAAAACAGTACTAAGAGGAAAGTTTATACCAATAAGCACCTACATCAAAAAAGTAGAAAAACTACAAATAAACAACCTAATGACACATGATAAAGAACTAGAAAAGCTAGAGAAAATCAAGCCCAAATTAGTAGAAGAACAGAAATAAAGATCAGAGCAGCAATAAATGAAATTAAGACAAACAAAAAACAGTACAAAAGATCAACAAAATGAAAAGTTGTTTTTCTAAGAAAGATAAACAAAATTGCCAAATCTTTAGCCAAAGAAGAAAAGAGAGAATACCCAAATAAATAAAATCAGAGATGAAAAAGGAGACATCATGATTATACCACAAAAATTCAAAGTATCATTACAGACTACTATGAGCAACTATATGCCAATAAGTTGGAAAACCTAGAAGTAGTGGATAAATTCCTAGATGCATACAACCTACCAAGATTGAACCATGAAGAAATCCAAAACCTGAATACAGCAATAAGTAATGAGATTGAAGCCATAATAAAAAGTCTCCCAGCAAAGAAAAGAACCAATACCTTCACTGCTGAAGTCTACAAAATATTTAAAGAAGAACCGATACCAATCCTACTCAAACTATTCTGAAAAATAGAGAAGGAAGGAATACTTCTATACTCATTCTACAAGGTCAGTATTACCCTGATACTAAAACCAGACAAAGACACATCATAAAAAGAAAACTACAGGCCAATATCTGATTAACATTGATGTAAAAATCCTCAACAAAATGCTAGTACACCAAATTCAGAAACACATTAAAAACATCATTCATCATGACCAAGTGCGATTCATCCCAGGGATGGAAGGATGGTTCAACATAGGCAAATCAATCAATGTGATACATCATATCTACAGAATGAATGACAAAAACCGTATGATCACTTCACTTGATGCTGAAAAAGCATTTGACGAAATTCAATTGCTTCATGATAAAAACCCTAAAAAAACTGGGTATAGAAGGAACGTTCCTCAACATAATAAAAGCTATATGCAACAGACCCACATCTAGTATCATACTGAATGGGGAAAAACTGAAAGCATTTCCTCTAAGATCTGGAACATGACAAAGATGCTCACTTTTACCACTGTTATTCAACATAGCATTGGAAGTGCTAGCTAGAGCAGTCAGACAACAGAAAGATATAAACAGCACCCAAATTGGAAAGGAAGAGATCAAATTATCCTGGTTTGCTGATGATACAATATTTGGAAAAACCTAAGACTCCAACAAAAAACCATTAGAACTAATAAGCAAATTCAGTAAAGTGGCAGGATACAAAATCAACAAACAAAAATTAGTAGCATATCTTTTTTTTTTTTTTTTGAGATGGAGTCTTGCTCCATCACGCAGGCTGAAGTGCAGTGGCACGATCTTAGCTCACTGCAACCTCCACCTCCCAGGTTCAAGCAATTCTCCTGTCTCAGCCTCCTGAGTAGCTGGGACTACAGGGGCCTGCCACCACACCAGGCTAATTTTTGTATTTTTAGTAGAGACGGGGTTTCACCTTGTCGGTTAGGCTGGTCTCGAACTCTTGACCTTAGGTGATCCAACCACCTCAGCCTCCCAAAGTGCTTACATGTGTAAGCCACCACGCCTGGCCAATTAGCAGCATTTCTATATGCCAACAGTGAACAATATGAAAAAGAAATTAAGAAAGTAATCCCATTTACAATAGCTACAAAGAAAACACATAGGAATAAATTTAACCAAAGAAGTAAAAGATTTCTATGATGAAGTATAAAACATTTTTGCAAGAAATTGAAGTGGACACACACAAAAAGGAAAGACATTCCGTATTCATGGATTGGAAGAATCAATATCGTTAAAATGTCCATACTTCCCAAAGCAATCTATGGACTCAATGCAATCCCTATCAAAATACCTTCACAGAAACAGAAAAAATAATCATAACATTTATATGGAACCACAAAAGACCTAGAATAACCAAAGCTATCCTAAGCAAAAATAAAAACAAAACTGGAAGAATCACACTACCTGACTTCAAATTATACTACAGAGCTATAGTAGCTAATACATCATGGTACTGGCATAAAAACAGATACATAGACCAATGGAATAGAATAGAGAACCTAGAAACAAATCCATATAAGTACAGTAAGCTCATTTTGACAAAGGGGTCAAGAACATACATTGGGGAAAGGACAGTCTCTTCAATAAATGGTGCTGGGAAAACTGGATATCCATATGCAGATTATTAAAACTAGACACCTATCTCTTGCCATATATAAAAAATCAAATCAAAATGGATTAAAGACTTACATACTTAAATCTAAGACTTGAAACTATGAAACCACTAAAAGGAAACATTGGGAAAACTCTCCAGGACATTGGACTGGGCAAAGATTTCTTGAGTAATACTCCACAAACACAGGCAACCAATGAAAAAGTAAACAAATGGGATCATATCAAGTTAAAAAGCTTCGCCTAACAAAGGAAACAATCAAGAAAATGAAGAGAATCCAAGGTATGGGAGAAAATATTTGCAAACTATGCATCTGAGAAGGGATTAATAACCAGACTATATAAACAACTCTATAGGAAAAAACATAAAACAATCTAATTTAAAAATGGGTAAAAGATCTGAATAGATGTGTCTCAAGGGAAGACATACAAATGGTAAACAAGTATGTGAAAAGGTGCTCATCATTATTGATCATCAGATAAATGCAAATCAAAACTATAATGAGATATCATCTCTTCCCAGTTAATACGGCTTTTATCCAAAAGACAGGCAATAATGAATGCTGGTGAGGATGTGGAGAAAGGGGAACACTTGTTCGCTATTGGTGGGAATGTAAATTGGCATAGCCACTATGCAGAATAGTATGGAGGTTCTTCAAAAAACTAAAGACAGAACTACGTATGATCCAGCAATGCCTCTACTAGGTGTATATCCAAAAGAAAGGAAATCAGTATATTGAAGAGATATCTGCACTTCCATGTGTATTGCAGCATTATCAACCTGAGTGTCCATCAGCAGATGAATAAAGAAAATGGGGTACATATATACAATGGAGTACTGATCAGCTATAAAAAAGAATGAGATCCTGTCATTTGCAACAACATGGATGGAACTGGAAGACACTGTTAAATGAAATAAGCCAGGCACAAAAAGACAAACTTTGCATGTTCTCACTTATTTGTGGGAGCTAAAAATTAAAACAATTGAACTCACGGAGATAAAGATGGTAGAATGATGGTTACCAGAGGGTGGAGAGGGTGGGTAGGGGGAGTGGGAAATAGGGATGGTTAATGGGTACCCCAAAATATAGTTAGATACAATGGATAAGATCTAGATAGCACAACAGGGTGATTACAATCAGCAATAATTTGTTGTACATTTTAGAATAAATTAGGGAATACAATTGGAATGTCTGTAACACAAAGAAATGATGAATGCTTGAAGTGATGGATACCCATTTACCCTGATGTGATTATTACCCATTGTATGCCTGTATCAAAATATCTCACATGCCCCATAAATATATCCACTACTATGTACCCCACAAAATTAAAATTTTTAAAAAGTCTTCACTTGGTAGTATCTTCTAAGAGACTATGGATGCTAAGTTGTTGGTTTTTTTCTCTCCTAATTTTGGGTGTTTTGCTTCCTAAGTATTTAAAACCAAATTTCACTTTATTATTTCTTTTTCTTCTCTGCCCCTCTCATTTTACATCCATATTAGGGACTTAGATCGTTTTTTTTTCATCCAATGTCTAAATTATCACTGTTTAATGATTTTTATGTATCAGTTTAATCTTTTACAACCTGGCATTTTTTTGCAAGCTATCATTCAGCCACTGACTGAATAAACAAATATGCACCTAAAAAGTTTACTTATGATGAGGAATCACAGAATTTATATCAAAATTCAACTCTGCAATGGTTGTAATGAGAGCTCAATGAATGAAAAAAAAATGAGATGCAAAATCATAAGACAAAACAGGAAGGTTAATACAAATCAACTATTTGCTTGACCAATCTGTCTAGATTTTAAGACTCAAAGTGATTCTCTTAAGAGGTAATTTTAAGCCAGGCAATTTATTTAAAGATATCTGATGAAATTGGTAAGACAAAAATAACTTCTGAGCAATGACTTTCTTGCAAGTCATTTGATAAAAGTTCATTGTCACAAATGACAGAATCTTAATGATAGCAGAGTACTTTAGTCACAGGAGAAACTCTATTAAATTCCTTGATGGATATACTCAATGGCACTCACACTTTCACAAGAAAGCAAGGCTGAAAATCCATCAGAATAAAACAACACATCTTCCATATGTTACAGCCTATCTCCAAGGAGAGGAAGTAGAATACATATTTGGAAAACCATTAATGCAAAAGCCTCTTGTCTTACCCGTTCATCTGTTGAATGATGGGAATAATTGATGAGACCAGGGATGGGCTGTTCACCGTGTGCCATGACAACAGCAGGACTGGTGTAGAATGGATGCTTCTAATGCACAACACATAACAACTATGAATATAGTGACAGGAAAACATGAAACTATACAAGCAAAATGACTAAAAAGGAAAAAAGGTAAAAACAAATGGAAAAATGAAATGCTAACATTTTCCAAATGTAGAATGACAGAATCAGCTTAGATTTTAAATGCCATAAGCTTCTCTCCTAAGATTGAAATTTATGGCACTTCTTACTCTTTTAATTCAGAGTAAAGGAAAAGGAACATATAATGATTTAAAAATGCCTGTTTCACCAATTGGTTTCATAAAAAAAAAATCACACAAAACTTAAATACTTACTAGCCTTTAGTAAGCACTCACTGGATCACTGAATGGACACTTCAAAAGGATTTCTCGATGATTCTAATCTATATATTATTAAAAAAAAAACCTCACAATGCTCGTAGCCAAAATAACTGGATAATCCATAAAATCTGATAATTATGTCATATAGCAATTAAATTTTCAATCTTTATGCTCTTAATGAAAAATCATAATTTCCAGAATTGATATGCTACTTTCTGTAGATATTAAGGCATACTAGGTTGACTTTAGTAGGTATGAAGAATAAACCATGTTCTATAACTTTAAGACAGTTAAATTTACTCAAGTAACTCATGGTAGTATATTTACCCATGGAGTTGCCCAAAGAGAATTTGTAATACTTTGATATTGTCCTAATAATATTTCTTAAAGTAGAAATGCAAATATATCCATTTCCTATCTTTACCACTAGGGTAATTTGTGTCAAGCAATGTTTGAATAAGTTATTAGTTAAGAAAAATTCAACAATCGCTGAAAAGCTTTGTCCCTTTAAAAATCTTTATTAATCTTTCCCAACTCATTTCTTGAATCATCTAAGGTCTTTTACCTTCAGTTTGCTGTTCCTTTAAGAATTTGTGACATTTTGATACTTTGAATATATAAACATTATATATTTAATATGTCCACAAAAATGACATCTCCAAAGAGTTCTAAAATGTCACGTTGTTTATCATTGTAGCTATTACTTCAATAGGCAACAGCTCATCAGTAATGCCTCAGAACTCAGAATTAACTTCAGTGACTTCAAGGAATCTATATCAAGAAGGAAACATAGTAGTGGAGTGTCATGGACATCCCACTTATTTTTTTAGGGTTCTCTGAAGAAGTATTAAATGTAGGGAGGGATGCGATGCAAAACAGATGAAACCAGTACATTTACCTGTGGGTCCTTTAGGCCTCTGAGTAACTCTCATCAGGCTTACCTTGGCAGCAATGGCTGCTGCAGTTATATGTGATGAGGAACTATCTTCTGTTGAAGCAACACCACTGTCTTTCTTCTCTTCTTCCTCTTCCTCACATTGAACTCCTTTGTCTTCTGTCTGTTTATGGGGGCTGGTAGTAGGAGGAGGGGAAAGAGGGGGAGGTGGGGAAGGCAAATCTTCAAGTTCATCATGCACCTCCTTTACTTTTACAATGGCATCACGTAAAAGGTCAATGGCATGAGGTAGAGCTGGCAGTATGAATTGAAAGCATTCCTGTATGCAAGAGAAAGAAAAAAAAATTAAGATGAAGCACTTTTGTAATTATATAAGATGGTGGCAATCAAACTGTTTCGTGATTTTGGATTTGCATTTTCCTCCATCAATCTCAGAATCAATCATATGTAAAACATTGTCTTAGCAATATGCCATGAAGTAAGCATAAAATATGTTATAGCATTCTCCATAAGCTAAGGAACTACAGTGCTACAATGTTGGTCATATGAAACATTAAAAATGACCACTCTTTTAATTGAAATTAACTTTTAAATGTTTATAGGAGTATGTGCTGTGAAATGATCTAAAATTTGTAATATTTTTGTCATGAACTGTACTACTCCTAATTATTGTGATGTAATAAAAATAGTTACAGTGACAAAAAAAAAAAAAACATACACTCTGCTGACTATTCCTTTTGCTATGCAAAAGCTCCTTAGTTTAAATTAGGTCCCAGCTATTTATCTTTGTTTTTATTGCAATTGCTTTCGGGTTTTTGGTCATGAAATCCTTGTCTAAGCCAATGTCTAGAAGGGTTTTTCCAATGTTATCTTCTATAATTTTTATAGTTTTAGGTCTTAGGTTTAAGTCCTTAATTCATCTTGAGTTGATTTTTGTATAAGGTGAGAGTTGAGGATAAAGTTTCATTCTCCTACATAGGGCTAGCCAATTATCCCAGCGCCCTTTGTTGAAAAGGGTGTCCTTTTCCTACTTTATGTTTTTGTTTGCTTTGTCGAAGATCAGTTGGCTCTAAGTTTTTGATTTTATTTCTAGGTTCTCTATTCTGTTCCATTGATCTATGTGCCTATTTTTATACCAGTACCATGCTGTTTTGGTGACTATGGCCTTATAGTGTAGTTTGAAATCACGTAATGTGATGCCTCCAGATTTGTTCTTTTTGCTTAGTCTTGCTTTGGCTATGCGGGCTCTTTTTTGGTGCCATATGAATTTCAGAATTGTTTTTCTTAACTCTGTGAAGAATGATGGTGGTATTTTGATGGGAATGGCATAGAATTTGAAAATTGCATTTGGCAGTATGGTCATTTTCACATTATTGATTCTACTAATCCGTGAGCATGGGATATGTTTACATTTGTTTGTGTCGTCTATGATTGCTTTCAGCAGTGTTTTGTAATCTTCACAATCTACTCATCTGACAAAGGGCTAATATCCAGAATCTACAACGAACTCAAACAAATCAGTAAGAAAAAAAAAAAAAAACAATCCCATCAAAAAGTGGGCTAATGACATGAACAGACAATTCTCAAAATAAGATATACAAACGGCCAACAAACATATGAAAAAATGTTCAACATCACTAATGATCAGGGAAATGCAAATCAAAACTGCAATACAATACCACCTTACTCCTGCAAGAATGGCCATAATCAAATAATCAAAAAACAGTAGATGTTGGCATGGATGCGGTAAACAGGGAACACTTCTACACTGCTGGTGGGAATGTAAACTAGTGAAACCACTAAGGAAAACTGTGGAGATTCCTTAAAGAACTAAAAGTAGAACTACCATTTGATCCAGCAATCCCACTACTGGGTATCTACCCAGAGGAAAAGAAGTCATTATTCAAAAAAGACACTTGCACACACATGTTTATAGCAGCATAATTCATAATTGCAAAATCGTGGAACCAACCCAAATGCCCATCAATCAATGAGTGGATAAAGAAACTATTTTATATATATATGATGGTATATTACTCAGCCATAAAAAGTAATGAATTAACACCACTTGCAATGACCTGGATGAGATTACAGACTATTATTCTAAGTGAAGTAACTCAGAAATGGAAAACCAAACATCGTATGTTTTCACTGATATGTGGGAGCTAAGCTATGAGGACGCAAAGGCATAGGAATGACACAATGAACTTTGGGGACTTATGGGAATTTATGGGAAAGAGTGTGGGGGGTGAGGGGTAAGACAACAAATATGGTGCAGTGTATACCTCTCGGTGAAGGGTGCACCAGGATCTCACAAATCACCACTAAAGAACTTACTCATGTAAGCAAATACCACCTGTACCCCAATAACTTATGGAAAAATAAAAAAAAATAAGACTGAGGACAGGCATGGATGGTCAGAATCAGATTCATTCTCTAAAAAAAAAAAAAGCATGCACTGCATTTTAAAAAAAGTAAAATTTCTATATACAACTTGGTAGTTGAAAGATGCATTATGAGAAAGACAGGAAAGATAGGAAAGAAGCCCAAGAGTTTGAGGCTGCAGTGAGCTATGATTGTGTAACTGCATTCCAGCCAGGGTGACACAGTGAGACTCTGTCTCTAAAAATAAATAAATAAATACATTCTAAAAACTTGTATACTACCCTCTTTTCCATCCCCTCCTCCCCAAGAGAAAACTTACATACTCACATACACACATTTAATTCTTGCGTTATTTCTACAACTCTTAAATGATTTATGCAAAAATCCTGAAGAAACTAGGAGCCCTTCATCCCTTGTTCCCAACCTCCTGAGTCAAGACCATTTCTTGATGTGATTCATGCCAAACACTTAAGACACTGCTGTATCTTGGATGGGTCAAATCTAGTTAACCATTTTTTTTTGTTTGTTTGTTTTGAGACGGAGTCTCATTCTGTCGCCCAGGCTGGAGTGCAATGGCGCCATCTTGTCTCACTGCAACCTCCGCCTCCTGGGTTCAAGCAATTCTCTGCCTCAGCGTCCTGAGTAGCTGGGATTACAGGTGCCTGCCACCACGCCTGGCTAGTTTTTTTTTATTTTTAGTAGAGATGGGGTTTCACCATGTTGGCCAGGCTGGTCTTGAACTCCTGACCTTGTGATCGGCCCACCTCGGCCTCCCAAAGTGCTGGGATTACAGACCTGAGCCCCAACGCCTGGCCAAATCTACTTAATCTTTAATCCAAAAGTAGAGAGAAGCAACTGGGGGCCTTCCATGCAGAAAGTGGGCTCAGGAGGCTAAGTAAAAGAATATGAATATTTATATCCAAGGCACTCAGGAACTTTTACACAGATGCAAGAAACTTATGTCAAAGTGGCCACAAGATTGTTTAATAGGAGACAGACAAATGAAACTCTGTGTTTACTGCTAGACACCAAACCTTTGTGTGAAATCTTGAATTTATGGGGAGGGAGAGTAGCCTGTACCTGTCTGTTATTTTCCTAATCCCAACCCCTCATTCTTGAACTGCAGGAGATTGAGCCCGTTTGGGCTTCGGTGACCCCACCACTGGGGTATGTTTATTTGATGGTTGATTTTGCTGTATTCTCTACTTCTTTTCCCATCTTCTAATCATTTTTTTAACACACATGCTGACTCTTTTCCTATCCCTTCTCCTTTTCTTGGGAAAATACAATGAATAAAGATTTATTGGTACTGAAGTTGTTTAAAAAAAGGCAGGAAAGAGGTTTCATATTTTTAGTTAGAGCAGGGCAGTAGAACTAACAACCGAGGTGAGAACCAGATTATTTTGTCCAGAGAGCTAAAGTTCTAACTACCATCATAAAGTATAGCTAGGTAACATTGTACAGCAAGCAAAATATAAAATAAGCTTGCAAAGAGCACTGCATAAAGTTAATATAATCTGCTGCTGAGGTGCTCACTATTATCTATAACGTATTACCAAAAGAGAATAGGTAAGAACCTAAAAATCAGAATATAAGGCCAGCTATAGCTGCAGAAGAGGTGGAGGTCTTTCTCTTTCACATTTGAAGTAATAGCTTAAAATCTAAGATGTAAAAAAAAAAATCTTAAAAATTTTTGGAGGGTTACATAATATCGGGAAAGATGTTTAATCTTTCGACCTATCTTTGTATGGCTCAATCAGTTTACTCTTTAAAGATTGTGTGGTAAAGAATTTAACCTTGACCGAGGAGAGGTCTGGTCTTTACACTCAGCTTCTGGGAGTGATCTCTAGGTCCTTGGAATTTCACGCCTAATAGGAATGTCTTTGTTGTCCATGGACTTTGGGCACCAGAGACAGTCTAACAATGTTAGACTGCAGTTCAGGAATGAGGGAAAGGGATCAGGAAAAGAACAGACAGGTATAGGCTACCCTCCCTCTCTCCCCATTAATTCAAGATTTCACACAAAGCTTTCGTGTCTAGCAGTAAACATGGACTTTCATTCATCTGTCTATTAAATAATCTTGTGGCCACTTTGACATAAGTTTTTTTGCACCTGCATAAAAGTTCCTAAGTGACTTGGATATATACTCATACTCCCTTTCTTGGCCTTCTGACCCCACTTTCTACATAGAAGGCCCCCAATTGCTTCTCTCTACTTTAGGATTAAAGATTACAGGTCAGCCACACTGGCAGTAAGTGTTTGAGTCCCAATAAAAGCTCTGGATACCAAAGGCTCAGGTGAGCATCCCCAGCTGGCATTACTCCATGTGTGGTATCACAGATTGACGCCAGAAGGGTGACATGTCCATGTCTCCAAAGAGAGAGGACAACAGAAGTTCCTCATTTGTTACTTCTGTTAGACTCTGCCCTATGCACTTTCTCCCTTGGCTGACTTTAATCCGTATTCTTTCCTTGCAATGAACAATAATCATGAGTATAACAGCTTTCTGTGAGTTCCATGAATGCTAGTAAATTATTAAACCTGAAGGTCATTTTAGGATCTCCTGAATTTGCAATTAGGGTCAGAAATGAGCAATTTTGTGGAGTACTCCACATTTGTAGGTGGCTATTTTTTGCAGTTGGCTAAAACTCCTTACAGTTGGTGTCAAAAATAAGATTTTCTAGAAAGACCCTGACTCACTGAAATACATGGCTTAGGAAGTGAAGAGAGGGTGTGGGATGATGAACCTTTGATCCCTGAGTGAAGACAGTGTCAACCACAGCATGGAATTGCTTCTTTACTGTGATTAGTTAATGGAGATAATTCCCAAAAAGTTATCTCACTGGATGCATAAGGAGATGCAAAATATAAAGAAAGAAGTTAAACACACAATCTCTTGGTTATTGTTATCTATGCTAGCTAAAATGAAGGTAAGGGATACAATCCTACTCTAAATGAATAGGAATAGACTGTGCAGGAGGAACTTGCTAAACTAGTATTACCAACGGCAATCTGAATCAGCACAGTGGCCAAACCTTACAACTCTTTAAAAGGTGAAAAAGTTTGGGTATAAATAGAGAGAAGGAAGAATGGTAGCTGAGGGTAAAGGAATGAATGGATAGGTTATGCAGTAAGGGAAATAATACTGCATTGGTATCTCCAAAGAGGTTCAGAACAAGAGATGACATTGTTTCTTAGCTCAACTGTAACAGATGCTTGAAAGAGTGAAGTCATATGTTGCTGAGACCACTCTTATTTTTGGAATCCAACAAGCCTGCAAACCTGAGTAGCATCATTCTGGGAGACATTCTGGTCTGTTAATGTCTGAGAAGGACTCTAAGAACGTGCCAGTATCTTTTGACTTTTATTTTTTAGGTTATGGCTAAGTGTATTGGGAAATTCAGTTAAAGCCTCCTCAGGATATAATGTTAATAGAAAATGACTGGCCTGAGGAAGAAATGCACTTAGGTAACCATCAGCTAATTTCTATGATATATAGTTCTGTACAAACATATCAATAGTGGTAGATTAAAGGTGAGAAATTAGTAACTTAATACAAAATTATGAAAATGTATGTAATGGCTTTAGTGGATGGATTAGCTATTTCTCTAAATATATCCACACCCTACACTGCCTTGGCCAAATCTTAGGCATATTCACACTGATACTACTGCTGTGTCTGTCACATAAATACCATAGTAAATATAGATGCCCAGACAAACATGACTGTGTTGCTATACAATAAAAAAAGCCTTGGCCAAAGGCCAGGGGGTAGCTTGTACAGCAAAGAATTAACAGTACCCAAAGAGAGTCTGAGGGTAAAAGTAGTTGCCCTTAACTAGTTGGAGGAGATCTCTAGATGTTCAGAATGTCATGTGTGACAGCAGTGTCTTTGTTTACCTGATGGCTTTGGCCACCACACAATCTAACAATATGACTTATGATGGGGACTTTTGGCCACATGGTGTCAGTTCTGGAACATACTGGAGACTAATGCTATCAATCCAATCTCTGGGAAGCGCTAAAGACTAAAGGTCATTCACATGGGCAAAATATAATGAACTGCAAAAAAAACAAAACAAAACAAAAAAAAAAACCAAACCAAAAAAAAAAAAAAAAACTCTGGACATCAAAAACTCAGGTGAGCTTCTCTGATTAAAAATATTACAAGTATATTATCATACACGAATGCCAGGAGAGTAAAGCATTGATGACTCTACAAGGAGAGGACAAGGGAAGCTCTCTGTGTTTGGTAGTATTCCTGGACGTTGTCTTATGCACTTCTTCTCTTGGCTGATTTTAATCTGTATCCTTTCCCCATAATAAACCATAACTGTAAGTGTAACAGTTTTTAGTGAGTTCTATGTCTTTCCATTGAATTACTGAACCCAAGAGTGACTTTGGGAATCCTGCAATTGGTATCAGATGTGAGGGCAGTCTTGTGGAGTGCTCCAACTTTTTGGCTGGCTAACTTTCACGGCTGGTCAAAAGCTCTTACACTAAACCATTAATATGTCCAGGTGATTTACCTGAGATCCTTTCTTGCTACCTGGCAGGTTAATTATGAGCGTTTTCCCTCTGATTCCACATACAGGCCTGAAAGAAAAGAGAAAGTAGATGAACACTAAATTGCTATGAATGCCCGGTTTAAATACATTAAGAACAAATAACAATCATTTTACTTTACATGTGAACAACTGTTTTAGGAATAAAAGTGTTATCTTAAGACATTCACTGCTTGCTATACAAATTAGGCATTCTGGTTGAAGTTTTTACATTATGGTTAGTATGGCAAATTGGAAAAAATGTACTGAATGTGGAATCAGAATAATTTACCTACTTTTAAGCAATCTGACCAAGTCTAATTACCTATTTTGTCTAACTTCAGCTTCTTCATATTTTATACAATTGTTTAAGAGTTTGAGATAGTGCATTAAAAATGCCTAGTGATATTTATGTTCAAAAGTCTAACACAAAAAGCACTTAAGATTTAGATTTGAGCTCTTGCTTCTCAGGAAGTCTATAAGTTTTAAAGTAAAACAAGGTTTTTCACAAGTGAATGGCAGAAGGGAAGAGGTTGGAGAGCTCATTCATTAATAGACCCACTGATAATCACAGGCATTTTAAGCTAGAAACATCTTTCAGAGATAATTGTCAATTTCCAGGCTACATTTAAACTAACTGGTTAAGAAACATAAAAAAATGGAAAAGCAGTGGAAGACTGGAGTCAAGGAGCAAAGGCCTAGATTTTCATATGAGAGCTGGAATTATGCTGTCATTGACTGGTTGTGTTACTCTGATCTGGTAACATTATCTCATTTTCATAATTTGAAAACAAAGAGATTATGCTATTTTTAAAATTTTACAGTATTTTTAAAGTAATGTAAGAACACTCTTCCCCAAATGTCTTGACTGAGTTTTTCTTTAACCACTCTTATTCTCTGAAATAACCTAAAACTGTCCTATATTTTATTACTTTTTCTTCTTGTCCTACTTACAATCTGAAAGAGAAGATTGCCATTTATTTACAACTTTCCATATATCTGAAAATGTTTACTGAATCACCTGCTGGCCTTCTTCTTACTAGAAAAACTATTCATTATTTCATTAAAAACTTTAAGGCTATTTTCTGACCTTTAATCTTAATGATATTTCTTCAAAATCTGTTTTAGTTCTGGCAGTCAGAATTGGATAAAGTACTTTAGTGACAAAATGGCACTGGGTAATTATATAGTTCTTAATATGTTCCTGTTTACTTAGGAATTTTGTTTTTCTTTCCAAACTAAAATGCTACATTTTAGCTTTTTGTCAATATGATAGCTAATTGATTATAATATCACCAGTAATATGATTGGAATGTCATCAATATTAAGTTCTCTATTTTCATGTAAGCAAATCTAGCAATTTATTGAATAAATCTAGAATTTTAACTAAGAGCACAATAATCCCTCGTAGAATATAGTATTAGCTACATCCGGAAGTTTGTAGCACCTTTCCTTCTAAAAACTAGAAATATTACCATAACAATTACTGCATATTATCCTCCCAATATTTCTATGAAGGAAAGACAAATATAGTTACCTACAAAATATGGAAAAATAATTTGGAGTACAAAGAATTTGATTAATACATAGCTCTGGGATTTTTGTAATTTTATCCAGTAAGTTCATTCCATCTTGTGTTTATTAATGTCCATTAACTTATCCTTACTGACATCACTGTAACAATTTTATCACGTTATGAAATGTGTTGGATTTTATTTTCCAAGAATGTTGTAACTCCCTCCATTAGAAGGTTAGTGGCAAGTGAAAACTTAGTTAATTCTTTTTATTCCAATTTTTGGTAATCAAATCCAGGCTTTTTATGTCTCCAATAATACTTCACTTGCTCTAGGTTGACACCTTAGTAGCAGTGCTAATATAACCAACAGTTACATCCAGACCACTATTTTTCTGTGTGTGTGTATGTATGCATATGTGATATAATTAAAGGTTTCTATACAGCCAGGAGATTACATTTGTTATTTCCCATCAATTTTTTTTTTTACTATTTTGTCAAAACATTACATCAGAGATTTATGTATTCTTTCTCATTTCCCTGATCTCTTTGAAGTGTTTAAAAATTAATTTTAAGACATACTTTTTCATCTATAGAATGTCCAGAGTCACTGCAAGAAGAAAGTACTCCTCCTCTATATAATGCTTTAGGATTAATAAAGTATTTTTACAAACATTATATCATTCAATAATTTAAAAACTATAAGCACCAAAGTTTTAGCATATTCCAATATTTATCAAATAGCTAAAGATCTGTACTAAGTATTATGGAATAAATGCAACCCAAATGCTTAAGAAGTTTATAATTGTAAAATGTAGAACATTAAAGCATATAAACAACTACAACACAAGATAGTAAGTAGTAACACAAATTGGTATAAAGTACCATAGGTTAAAAAAAAGTAGCCAGTGTGGTGGCTCATGCCTGTAATCCCAGCACTTTGGGAAGCCGAGGTGGGAGGATCACAAGGTCAGAGTTCGAGACCAGCCTGGCCAATATAGTGAAACCCTGTCTCTACTAAAAATACAAAAAATTAGCCGGGTGTGGTAGCAGGTTCCTGTAATCCTAGCTACTCAGGAGCCTGAGGCAGAAGAATCGCTTGAATCTGGGAGGCGGAGGTTGCAATGAGCAGAGATTGTGCCATTGCACTCCAGCCTGGGTGACAGTAGTAAGACTTCGTCTCAAAAAAACAAAACAAAACAAAAATCAAAAAGAAGGGCAGTTTAGGAGGAGGGGAAAAATAATGCAAAAGCATAGAGTTAAAAAAAGCACCAAGTGCATTTTGAGTATATTGTCTCTCACCAGCAAGCATCCACTTGCTTACTTATAGAGGAGTAATATGAGGCTAAGAAGGACCAGTGGAAAGATGTTGCTGTCTGACAGATTAGTATTTTTCAATTTGTGGTCTCTGGACCAGAAACATATGCATCATACAGGAATTTGTTGGAAAGGCAAAATGTCCCATACCACCCTTATCCCCTCCTCTCTGTTGCTGATATATTGGATAAAAAACTATGAGGGTGGGGTCCAGTAATCTGTATCTTAACAAGTTCTCTAGTTGACTCTCATCCATGGAAAAGTTTGAGAACTGCTGTGATAAACTGTGCTTGAGTTTTGGTACTACTATTTACTATTAGTGTAATCCTGTCTTCATTACTAAACTTCTTTAATCCTTAGTTTCCATAACCTGAGTTGTTAAAAGGGTTAACATAATCTTTGAAATATAAGGTACAGTATAATCTAGTACATAATAGGCATTAAATAAATATTTGGTCCATCTTTCCTTAAAAAGTACATTAGAATTAAGACAGTAGAAGTCATGAATTCACTGTAAAGAGCTAGAATGTATTCTTAAGGCATTGGAGATGATACATGGATTCTGCTATTACTAATATTACCAAGCACTATTTCAGGAATAATAGTCTAAGATGAACTGAAAGGGGATGACAGAAGATATAAAGAAAAGAAAGTCTGATAACAAAAAACACTAAATACGAGTTGACTCATTCTTAGTTTATTTTCTCTCATGTATCTGATTCAGCATGTTACATAGCGCATTGTTTTTGTTTATGTATATAAAATATAAAGCATATTTTAAATAAATGTAAATGTATATTAAGCAAAAATCCTTTGGGAACAATAGGAAGGGCATTTTAGTCTTAGGTAAGGAAGGGTAGGGGTAGTTAAGAGAAGGCTTCTATAAGGAAGGAAAAAATCTAAGCTTCTGCCTGAAGAACTGGTAGTTGTTACAGAGGTAAAGAGAGAAGGAAGAACATTCAAGGCAGAGAAAAGGGCATGTACAAAGTACTCAGAAGCTAACAATAGAACCTGATATGTGTGGTAAAAACAACAACAAGTGTGGGTGGAAGCTGATGCAAAAAGCAGCAGTGACAAATTATATATAGGCCCTGGAAAGTAATCTTAAAGAATTCAGTCTTTATCTACAGTGGAGAGTGAGATTTTGCTAAAAAATTTTGAGCAGAGAAATAACATACTAATATCTGTATTTTCAAAAGATATTTCTGGCTGCAAAGTAGAAAGTTGTTTGGAGAGGTGCAAGAAAGGAAGCAAGGAATACAGTTAAGAGAATGTCGAAAAATGTAACAGGTGAATTAGGGTGGTTGCAAAGGTGATGAAGAAAAGCGAACAGGTTATAGTTAAGAATATTCTGACCCACAGACTATATAATGGGATAGTTACCTTTTTATTCCAATTTTTTTGAAAGTTTAATACAAAAAGAGTAATTTTTAAAAACAGGACATATTTGGATGAAAACTGGTCCTAATCTAGATTTACACTAGAAGTTCAATATTCTATGTTAAACTTGATCACAACAGGCATGAGAATAGAAGAATATGAAAAATATTGCTTCTCTTAAAATTTCTGTTAAATATTAAATACACAACAAGGTATGACGTGTATAAAACAGACAATAACAATAAAAATCCCACTGATGTGCCTACTACCTAGGTGAAGCAATAGACTATCACTGATACTTTCAAAGAGTACTGCGTGCCTTGACTTGATCTCAAGTCCCTTCTTCTCCAAATAACTATTATCCTGAATTTTAAAACATTCTTACTTTTTTGTAAAACAGCTCTATCAATATAAAATTCATATACCATACAACTTACCCATTTAAAGGATACAATTCAATAGTTTTTAAAGTATATTCTCAGAGTTGTACAATCATCCTGGTAATCCATTTTAGAACATTTTCATCACCCTCCACAAAAAAATCCCATACCCATTAGCAGTCATTCCACATTTTCTTGCAACTCCCAGCCCTAGGCATTCACTAAGCTATTTTCTGTCCATACAGACTTGCCTATTCTAGACATTTCATATAAAGGGAAACATATAATATGTCACCTTTTGTGACTTGCTTCTTTTACTTAACATGTTTTCAAGGTTCATCCATGTGGTGCTTATATAAATCATTCACTTAAAAAAAACTTTTCCACATATGTTTATCTAAATATATTTTCATTTTAGCATGCTTTTGAAATTTATATACAAATGAAATCATACTGTGCATATTCTTATACAACTTGGTTTTCTCACTCAACACTGTGTTTGTGAAACTCCTCCATGCTGATATGCATAGCTATAGTTCATTTTCAATGCTGCACAATATTACATATGTGCACAGCTTTCTCTAGGACAGTGTTCTTCAAATTGTAGGTCACGACCAATTAACAGGGCAGTAAACTGACTTCAGTTGCCATAACTAGCATTTTTTAAAAAAGAACAGAACAGAAAATATCAGAATGCTTTCCTGGAAGTTAGGATAAATATTGACTCAGAAAAGTTTGTGCCTTTTGTATATGTATGTGTGTGCATATTGTTTATGTAGATATATATGCATATATGCATACCCACATACATAGAGACATATATATACATATGTGTGTGTGTACTGAATTACAATGTTAAGTACATTTCTTACTGTGGCTTATGGTCAAAAACATTTGAAAGCTAATGTTCTAGGGTAAATAGCTAGAAGCAGATTTTATGAGTCACAGGAATAAGCAGATGTGCAGTTTTACTGTATAAAAGTAATTTTCCATAGTGTTTGTACCAATTTACATTCCTATCAACACACTGTTGCTGCTTCTCCTGACAATGCTAGATGTTGTCAGTGTTTTTCTTTTTTAATTTCTTTTGGCCGAATAGATGACAGATATAAAGCAACTACAATAAAATGTTAATAGTAGAATCTTAAGTATTCACTGTAAAATTCTTTCAATTTGGTATATGTTTGAAATTTTTCACAATAAAAAGGTTGAGATAAAGTCTCTTTATTTGTAATTTTAAACTTAAATCTAAACATTTTAGTGTTCATATATGTACTGGCTTATTATTTCTGTTCTGCAGTTAGTGTATTTCCGTCTGTTAGTGCAGGGTGCCCCAAAATTATAAACTTCTAGAGGGTCGATTCTGCATAGAACCTATTGTATAGCACCTAATACAGTATCTTCACCAGTTAGACATTTATTAAATCCATTTTGATGAAATGAGGAATGCTCAGAAACTGTTACAGTTACAATCTCTACATCATGAAATAAACAGTAAATATGAAATTTGGTCCCTTTAAAAAATACACCTTGGGTTTATAGGACAGCAACTGATGTATCCTGATCTTCTATCCAACAAACTTGATGAACTCTTCCATTACTTCTAAAAGACTACTGATTTTTTAATAATTCCCATGTAGTAATCATGGGAGATTACTTGTCCTTTTCAATGCTTGTATCATTTTTTTTTTACTTTGTACAATATTGGACAGAAGTATACTTGGACTCTGTCTTATTCCTAACTTTAAAGAGAATACTAACAATATCTAATTATTAACTATATTTGCTTTGTCAAATTAAGGAAGTTCCCTTCGAATCATTGCTTGCTAAGAGTCGTTATTCATAAACAGGTTTGGAATTTTATCAAATGCTTTTTCTGCATCAATTGAGAAGGTCATATGACTTTTCTCCCTTAATCTGTTAATGCAGTGATTCATGTTAATCAGTTAACCATCTTTGTGTCCTTGAAATAAATCCATCTTTATCCTGATGTATCTTTTAAAAATATACTTTTAGATTTGATATGTTAGTATCTTATTTTTGAAGTTTTCACATCCATGTTCACAATGAATATTCACCTACATTTTCCCTTTTTTCTACTATCATTTTCTAGTTTTGTAATAAGATTATCCCAGACTCATAACATGAATTGAGAAATGTTTACGTTTTACTACACTCAGGAACAATTTAAATAATATTGAAATCATTTGCTCCTTGACAGTTGTATAGAATATCCCGTTATTATTTGATTAAATTGACTTCATTTTTAAGAACAGTTTTGGATTTACAGAAAAATGCAGAAGATAGTATAGGGAGTTCCCATATTCTCTGTACCATGTTTCCCCTACATTTAACATCTTGTATTATTATGGAACCTTTGTGGCAATTAATGAGCCAATATTGACACATTATTATTAACTAAAGCCCACAGTTTATTCATGCTTCTTACTTTGTACTTAATACCCTTTTTCTGTTTCAGGATCCCATTCAGATTACCAAATTACATTTAGCTGTCATGTCTCCTTATGCTTTTCTTGGCAGTGATAGATGCTCAGGCTTTCCTTGTTTTTGATGACCTTGATAGCTTTGGTAAGTGCTGGTCAGTTTTTTTTTTTTTTGCAGAATGCCCACTTCTGGTGTCTGTCTGATATTTTCTGATGATAAGATTAGGGTTATGGGATTTTTGGAAGAAGACTATAGAGATATACAGCCATTTTTATTACATCATATCACAGGTATATGCTATCAATCTGACTAATGAATGTTGATACTGATCTTGATCTCTTAGCTGAGGTATTTGTCAGGTGCTCCCCATAGCAAAGTTACTCTTCCCCAACCTGACCCCAGTTCTGTACTCTTTGGAAGGAAGTCACTGTATGTAGCCCATGCCTAAGAAGTGAGGAGTTATGTGCCCCTTCCTTGAGGGTGGAGCATCTATATAAATTATTTGGAAATTATATGCACAGGACATTTGTCTCTTCTCCCTCATGAATTAATTTGTGCAAAAAGTTATTTGTATAAGCATGGAGTCATGGATGTTTATTTTATACTTTGGATTATAATAAGATACTGCTTGTTGCTTATTTTGTTGCTCACATTTTTACATCTTTGGTCATCGGGAGATGTCAATTGACTCCTATGCCCCTTTAATATATACCCGCCAATGTGTGTTTTGTTGTAGTTTGTTTTCTTGAGTGCTTCCTTACTTTTAAGCACTACGAGATATACCAGGTTCATCTTGTATATTTCCTGCCTTGGTCCCAGAATCAGCCACTTCTCCAAGGAACCCAGGCTCCTTTTATTGCCAAATGGTAATAAAAACTAAGATTTCAGCATTAATTATATCATTTCATATTGATATGTCATTTATTTTAGACCCTCTCTGCTGACAAAGCAAAGGAATACGTGTGTAAACTAACCTGTGTGTGCATATATATATATATAAAACAAATATTTCTGTATGTAACCATTTGTATCTATGTTAAAGCTAGATATGAGTTCATACTGATGTCTCCAACTCTAATTCATTACCTAGGATCACATGGATCATTCTAGCCTCTTCCCCTTGCTTGTACATATGTGATTTCCCACTGTGACAGTGAGAAACCTGTCTCACTACCTGCCATCCATTTATTAACTGTTCAATTCCAGTATACATATATATTAAAATTAGAATTGTTAACCCATACCTCCATGGGATACAACTTTATCAACTAAAGCGCTTATGTGCAGTTGCTTTTACCTTTAGTCTTACAGACTCCACTCATATCCAAAGTTATTTAGGTCAGTACTTTTCCCCTCCACCCGCTTCCATGAGGTTGTTTTATTTATTTTGTAATGCATTTAAATTCTCTTGGCAGAGTCCTCATTGCTTTCTGGGATCCATCAAATGCAATTTGCATATATTAAGCCTTCCTTGTGATAAAGTTCTATGAGTTTTGACAAATGTATAATGTCATGTTTCCGTATTTCTACTTCATATCAAATAGTGTTACTGCTCTAAAAAATCTGTTCAGCTTTATCCATTCACCTATATCTTTCTTTTCAAAAACTCTGGGCAAACACTGATCATTTTACTGTTCTTATAATTTTACTTTTACTACAATGTCATAAAGTTAGAACCATATAATATGTATTCTTTTCACACTGGCTTCTTTTACTCAGCAATATGCATGTAAGGATGTCTTTTTTGGTTGCTTGATGGCTCATTTCCTTTTATTATTGAATAAGAGTCCATTGTATGGATGCAGCATAATTTGCTTATCCATTTACCTATTGAAGTAAATCTTGGTTGATTCCAACTTTTGGCAATTACGAATAAGGCTGTTAAAAACATTTGCATGTGGATTTTTGTGTGGATGTAAGTTTTCACATAAATTGGTTAAATATCTAGAAGTTCTCTGTATATTTTGGATACAAGTCACTTTAATGGTATATGATAGAATGACTAGACAGACAACTAGCAAGCATATAGAAGAACTCAGCAACACAAATCAACAGGATCGAATTGATATTTGTAGAACACTCCAGCTGACAGAATAATACACATTGTTTTTACCAATATAGACCATATCTGTGACCATAAAAATAAACCTAAACAAATTTAAAAGAATTGAAATTATAGAGTAACTTCTCTGACCACAGTGGAAGCAAAGTTGAAATCAGTAACAGAAAGATAACAGGAAAATTCCTATACACTTGGAAACTAAACCATAAACTTCTGAATAATCTATGGATCAAAGAGGAAATCTCAAGAAACCAGAGACTTCTGGTTTCAAAATGGCAATGTACGAGCAGGCTGACTTCACTCCTCTCAACAGGAAACCAAAAGCAAATGAACAGCACAGAGAATATCACTAGAAATATCCCAGAACTCAAATATGAAGATGAGATGTGGCCCTGGGGCCAGAAAGAAGTGAAAAAACTCTGAACAGACAGTAAGAATATCAGATTTCCACATCCATGATGTTCCTCCTCCCCATCCTGCCTTGCACGAAGCATGTAGAAAATTTTCCTCTAACTTACTGTTTTAACATTGGAAAAAGTGAGATCAAGGTGAACAGCCAGCTTTCCATCATTTTGCATGCCCTGGCAGTAGACCTGTCCCTGCCTTAACCCATGGGAAGCATCACAAGTGTCTGAAGGAACAAATATACCTGAGGATAGGCAGAGACAAAGGGAGGAGGTGGGATTATAGTCTCTGACCCTGGAAACTCTGCTCATAAACTCAGCCAAAGGAGATGCTAAATCATGATGGCTGTTCAGCAGTACCACGCTGTAGGAGGTGCATCCCACAGGTTCCCTGGGCACGAAACACTGGCTTAGCTTTCCTACACTGGAAGGATATACCATGTTTCACCTCCCTCACCCGAGAAGGGTAGCATTCTGATCATTTACTAGAGCTTAGGTGAACCTGGGGATAATGTGTCACCTAGGACTGAAAATGGGGAAGTGGTAAAAAAAAAAAAAAAAGCCTCGAATCAAATATATCCTGAATTGAATAAAGAAAACATGATACATACACACCATGGAATACTATACAGCCATAAAAGGAATTAAATCATGTCCTCTGCAGCAACATGGACGTACCTGGAGGCCATTATCATAAGCAAATTCATGCAGGAACAGAAAACCACATACTGAATGTTCTCACTTGTAAGTGGGAGCTAAACATTTGGTACACATGGACATAAAGATGGGAACAATAGACACTGGGGACTACCAAGGTATGAGAGAGGGAGCGGGGCAAGGGCTGAAAAACAACCTTTTGTATACTACGCTCATTACCTGGGTGATGGGATCATTTGTACCACAAACCTCAGCATTATGTGATATACCCATGTAACAAACCTGTACATGTACCCCTGAATCTAAAAGTTGAGATTATAAAAAACAAACACAAAAAAGCGAAACAAGCCAGACAGAACACTGGAATAAATATAACTAATCCTCCAATGCAAAGACATGTACATACATCCAAAAGAAACAATAGTAAACAGGAAACCATGATCTTCCCAAGTGGACAGAGCAATGAAACAGTAACTGGCCCTAATGAAACAGCAATATGTGAGCTCCCTAACCAAGAGCTCAAAATAGTAGTTTTAAGAAAACACAGTGATCTCCAAGGTAACACAGAAAAGCAATTCAAAATTTATGATAAAAATTTAATGAACAGATTGAAATAATTAAAAACCAAACATTAACCTTGGAACTGAGATATATATTTGTTCAACTGAAAAGTTCGTTAGAAGCTCTCAACAGTAGAATGGATCAAGCAGAGGAAAGAGTCAGTGAGCTCAAAGATAGGCTATTTGAAAATACACAGAGAAGAAAAAAGCAAAAAGCATGAAGAGCAATGAAGATCACCGGTAAGATACAGAAAATCACATCAAAACAACAAATCTAGAAATTATTTTATTGATGTTCAAGAGGGAGTTGAGGAAGATCAAGGGGTAGAAAGCTTATTCAAAGAAATAATAATAGAACTTTCCAAATCTTCACAAGGATATAAATATTCAGGTACAGGAAGGTCAGAGAACACCAAATGGATAGGACCCAAATAAGACTACTCCAAGGCATACAATAATCAATCAGAGGTCATGAATGAAGACAGAATCCTAAAAGCAGTAAGATGTCTTACCAATGGAACCCCAAATGAGCTCAATGAACAACTTCTACCGAGGACCCCTGGACCAACCCACTGACCCTTTGGCTGGCCTAGAGAGTTCCCCTCTGGAGGACACTACCACTGTAGGGCCCCTTCTGTGCCCCTTTCCAGCAGGAAGTAGCTAGAGCAAGCATCGCCCAATTCCCAACAGCAGTTGGGGTGTCCTGTCTAAAGGGGGCATTGAGAGGTGAAGCCAGCTGGACTTCCTGGGTCAACCAGGGACTTGGAGAACTTTTATGTCTTACAAGAGGATTGTAAAATGCACCAGTCAGTACTCTGTAGCTAGAATTGTAAAACGTACCAATCAGTGCTCTACAGCTAGCTAGAGGTTTGTAAAATACACCAATCAGTGCTCTGTAAAAACGCACCAATCACCGCTCTGTGGCTAGCTAGAGATTTGTAAAATGGACCAATCAGCCCTCTGTAAAATGGACAAATCAGCACACTGTAAAATGGACCAATCAGCAGGACATGGGCGGGGACAAATAAGGGAATAAAAGCTGGCCAACCCTAGTCAGCAGGGGCAACCTGCTTGATTCCCCTTCCACCCTGTGGAAGGTTTGTTCTTATACTCTTCACAATAAATCTTGCTGCTGCTCACTCTTTTGGTCCACGCCACCTTTAAGAGCTGTAACACTCACTGCAAAGGTCCGCGGCTTCATTCTTGAAGTCAGCGAGACCACGAACCCACCGGAAGGAACCAACTCTGGACACACAATCATAACTCCAGTATGAAGGCGAATAGATAAATATATCACAAACAATAGGAGCTACAACAACCTGTTAAGAGATAGGTAATATAAAATATGCAAATTGAGACAATACGAGTCTAAATGTGGGGAAGATGGAAGTAAAGTGTAAAAGATTTTTCCCATTTTTTCAGTTTCTGTTCCCATTTCTGTGATCTAAGATAAGTTGTCATCTTTTTAAAATAACTTGTTATAAGGTATTTTTTATAAGCGTCATGGTAACCACAATGCAAATACCTACAACAGATTAACTAAAAATAAAAAGCAACAAATTAAAAGATACTACCAGAGAAAATCACTGAAACCACATATGAAGAAAGTAAAAAAGGGAGAAAGGAGTTATAAAACAACCAGAAAACAAATGACAAATGGCAGGAGTAAGTCCTTACTTATCAATAATAACATTTAATGTAAATTAACTCACTTCTCCAAGGCAAAGACATAGAGTGCCTGAATGGATAAAGAAATAAGACTCAACTATGTGTTACCTACAGGAAATCCACTTCGTCTCTAAAGACACATATAGACTGTAAGTGAAGGGGTGAAAAGTGATATTCCATGCAACTGGGAGCCAAAACAGAGCAGGAGTAGTTATACTTAGATAAAATGGACTACAAATCAACAACTGTAACTGTAACAACTGTAACTGTAACAACTGTAGCCATAACTGTAAACAACTGTAAAAATAGACAAAGGAGGAGATTATATAATGATAAAGAGGTCAATTCAGCAAAATGATATAACAATTATAAATATCTGTGCACCCACCACTGGAGCTGCCAAGTATATAAAGCAAACATTAATAGATCTTAAGGGATAACTGCAATACAATAATAGTAGGGGACTGTAATACTCCACTCTCTGTAGTGAACAGGTCATCTAAACAGAAAATCAACAAAGAACCATCCAAATTAAACTATACACCAGACCTAATATGCCTAACTGATATTTACAAATCATTTCACCCAACTGCTGCAGAATACACATTCTTTTCTTCTTCCTGGTTTAGTCTTGGGAGGGTGTATGTGTCCAGGAATTTATCCATTTCTTCTAGATTTTCTAGTTTATTTGTGTAGAGGTATTTATAGTATCTCTGATGGTAGTTTGGAAATAATAGCAATTCTAATCAAACTTTCTAAAAAAAATTGAAGAGGAGGGAATACTTTCAAAGTCATTCTATGCGGCCAGCATTACCCTGACACCAAAACCAAAAAGGATAAAACAAAAAGAGAAACCCAGGCCACCCTCCCCAATGAATACAAATGCAAAAATTCTCAAGAAAATGTCAGTAAACCAAGTTCAACAACACATTGAACAGATCATTCTCCATGATCAGGTGGGATTCATCCCAAGGATGGTTCAACATATGCAAATCAATAAATGTGATATGCTACATTAATAGAACCAAGAATAAAGACCCTATGATTATTTCAATATATGCTGTAAAAACATTTAATGAAGCTCAACATGCTTTTATGATAAAAACCCTCATTCAAACTGAGTATAGAAGGAACATACCTCAACATAATAAAGACCATATATGACAAACCCACAGTTACTAGCATACTGAAAAGGAAAAAAATTGAACGCCTTTCCTCTAAGATCTGGAACAAAACAAGGATCTTCACTGTCACTACTTTTTTTCAAAATGGAAGTCCTGGCCAGAGCAATTAGGCATGAGAAAGAAACAAAGGGCATTCAAACTGGAAGAGAAGAAGTGAAAGTAGACTTGTTTGCAGATGACATGACCTTATAGTTAGAAAAATCTGGAGACTCCACTAAAACACTGTTGGAATTGATAAACAAATTCAATATAGTTACAGGACACAAAATCAACATACAAAAAGCAGTAGCATTTCTATATACCAATAGTGAACAATCCAAAAAAGAAATCAAGAAAGCAACCCCATTTATAATATCTCCAAAGATATAAAATAACTAGGAATCAATTCAACCAAAGAAGTGAAAGACCTATACAAGAAGAACCATAAAACATTGATGAAAGAAACTGAAGAGCACATAAAAAAATGGAAATATATTCTATGCTCATGATAGGAAGAATATTGTTAAAATGACCATAGTACCCAATGTAATCTAGACATTCAGTGGAATCTCTATCAAAATATCAATGACATTTTCCACAGAAATATAAAAACAATCCTAAAATTCATATGGAACCACAAAAGAGCCTAATATCCAAAGCAATCTTGAGCAAAAAAATCAAAGCTGGAGGTATCACATCACATGACCTGACTCCAAAATATACTACAAAGCTATAGTAACCAAATCAACATGGTACTGACACCAAACAGATATGCGAGACCAATGGGGAAGATAAGGAACTCAAATATAAATTCATGTATTTATAACCAAGTCATGTTTCACAAAGGTGCCAAAAACAAACAATGGGGAAAGACCTGTCTTTTCAATTAATGATGTGGAGAAAACTGGATATCCACTTGCAGAGGTATGAAATTAGACCCCTATATTTTACCATACACAAAAATCAAATCAAAATAAAGACTTAAATCTAAGACCTGAAACATGAAACTACTAGAAGAAAACACTGAGGAAATGCTCCAGGACATCTTTCCAGGCAAAGATTTTTGTCTAAGACTTCAAAACCACAAGCAACAAAAGCAAAAATAGACAAATGGGGTTATACAAAACTAAAAAGCTTCTGCACAGCAAAGGACACAATCAGGAAAGCAAAGAGACAACCCACAGAATGGAAGAAAACATTTCAAACTACCTGTCTGACAAAGGATTAATAACTAGACTATCTAAGGAGCTCAGATAGCTTGACAGAAAACAACAACAACAAAAACAACAAATAATTCAATTAAAAAATGAGCAAACTATATGAATAGACATTTCCCAAAGAAGGCATTCAAATGGCCAACACCACTAATCATCAGATAGATGCAAACCAAAACTACAATTAGATATCATTTTACTCCAGTTAAAATGGCTTTTTATCAAAAAGACAGGCAGTAACACATGCTGGTAAGGATTTGGAAAACAGGAAACATTTGTACGCTGTTGGTGGAAATGTAAATTAGTAGAGCCACTATGGAGAGCAGTATGGAATTTCCTCATAAAACTAGAAATAGAATTACCATACGATCCAGCAATTGCACTGCTGGATATATATCCAAAAGAAGGGAAATCAACATATTGAAAAGACATCTGCACTCTCACATTTACTGCAGCACTATTCATAATGGCTAAAATATGGATTCAACCTAAGTACCAGTGAACATACAAATGGATAAAGAAAATGCAGTATCTATATACAATGGAACATTATTCACTGATTAAAAAATGAAATCCTATCATTTGCAGGAACATGGATGGAACTAAAAGTCATTATGTTAAATGAAACAAGGCAAGCACAGAAGGAAGAATGTCGCAAGTTCTCCCTCATAATGTGGGGGCTAAAAAAGTGAATCTCATGAGGATAGGTAGTAGATTGGTTGTTACCAGGGGCCAGGAAGGGTAGTGGGGAGGAGGGAAAGATGAGAAGTTGATTGATGGGCACATATGAAGTTTGATAGAAGAAATAAGACCTAGTGTTAGATAGATTAAAAAAAAAAGAAAAAAATCTCAAAAAATAAAAAGATACATTAAGATGAATAAAAATGCAAATATAACATATCAAATTCATGGAATGCACCTAAATCAGTGCTCCTAAAGTTTACATTAGAAAAGTCTCAAATCAATAACAAGCTTCCAGCTCAAGAACTAGATAAAGAGCAAAATGAACCCCAAACAAGGAGAAGGAATGAAATAATAAAGAGCAGATAACAGTGAAATTTAAAACAGAAAAACAGAGATAGTCAATGAAACAAAAAGCTTGTTCTTTGAAAAGATAAATAAAATGGAAATATCTTAAGCAAGACTGAAAAAAAGATGGAAATTACCAATATCAGGAATGAAACAGGCGTATTAATACAGACTCTCAAGACGAGAAAATAACAATAAGAGAATACTAGGAGCAAATCTATATACATAAATTAGACAACTTAGATGAGATGGACAAATTTCTCAAAAAGCATAAAATACTACATTAACCATATATAAAATAGATAAATAGCCCTGTAACTTTTAAGAAAATTCAATTTATAGTAAAAAAACTCTAGAAAAATAAAGCTCTAGGACAGATGGTTCCACTAGTGAATTCTCTGAAATGTTTAAAGAAAAATTAATATACATTTTACATAAACTCTTCCAGAGAGTAAAAGTGGAGGGAATATCACAACTCATTTTATGAAGCCAGTATTAACTTGATACCAAAATCAGATGAAGATAGTATAAAAAAGAAAAATATAGACCAGTATCTCTTATGAATATAGATATAAAAATCCTTACTAAAATATTAGCAAATAGAAGTCAGGAATAAGTAAAAAGAACTATATACTAGGACCAAGTGGGTTTACTCCAAGAATTCAAGACCAGCTCAATATTTGAAAATAAATCAACATATGCATCATATCAACAATCTAAGAAGAAAAAGTAGATCATGCAATCATATCAATTAACACAGGAAATTCACCGGACAAAATCAAACACTGATCCATGATAAAAACTCTCAAAAAATGTAGAAATTAAGGGATGGACTTCTTTAATTTGAAAAAGAGCTTTTATAAGAAATGTACAACTAACATACTTAATAGTGAAACATTGAGTGCTTTCTCCCCAAGATCAGGAAAAGAGCAAGGATATCCATTTTCACCATGGCTATTCAAAATAGCACTGGAAGTTTTAGCTAGGACAACAGGCAGAAAAAGAATAAAAGGCATATAAATCACAAAGAATGAAGTAAAACTACCCCTATTTGCAGATGATGTGATTGTCTATACAGAAAATCCCAAAGAATAAAACAAAACAAACAACAAACAAAACAAAAAACAAAAAAAAAAAAAAGAAAAAGCCCTCCTAGAATTAATAGTACTAGCAATTAAGCAAGGCTGTAGAATATAAAATCAACATCCAAGAATTAATTGTATTTCTATATATATTAGCAATGAACATGAGGTGGACACCTAAATTAATAATAAAACACCATTTACAATAACTGAAAACACAATTAAATACTTAAGTGTAAATCTAACGAAACATGTTCAGACTTTTTATACTGAAAACTGCAATAAAAGAAATCAAAGACAATCTAAAGGAAGAGACATAATGTGTTCATGGAGGCTCAACATGGAAAAGATGTCACTTCCACCCAAATTTACATCCAGATTTAATGTAATTCCTATAAAAATCTGAGCAATTTTTTTGTAGATATAGACAAACTTATTCTAAAATTTACATGGAAAACAAAAGGGACCAAAATAGCTAAAAATTTTGAAAAAGACAACTAAAGTGGGAGGAATCTGTCTATGCAATTTCAAGACTTATTGTTTAGCTACAATGATAAAGATTATGTGGTACTGACAGAGGGACAGACATATAGAACAGAACAGAGAAACCAGAACTAGAACTAAACTAATAATAGGCCAGATTAATTTTCAACAAAGGTGCAAAAGCCATTCAACAGAGGAAAGGTAGCTTTTTTTTTTTTTTTTTTTTTTTTTAAACAAGTAGCACTGGAGCAAGTGGTCGTTCATACACAAAAACCAACCAACCAACCAAACGAAAAAACACCTCAACCTAAACTCACACCTTAGAAAAAAATCAACTCAAATGGATTTAAAGGTAAAATGTAAAATTATAAAAGTTTTAGAAAAAAACACAGGAGAAAGTCTTTGGACCTTTGCCTAGGTGAAGGGTGCTTAGACTTTACATCAAAAAAACACAACTGCTAAAAGAAAAAGATGATAAATTGGACCTCATGGAAATTAAGTAGTTTTGCTCTGTGAATGACACTGTGAAGAGGAAAAAAGACAATGTATTGACTGGGAGAAAACAATTGCAATCCACATATCTGACGAAGGACAGGTTTCTAGAACACATAAAAACTCTCAAAAATCAGGGATAAAAAAACTAAAAAACACAGTCAGACAATAGGCAAAACACCTGAACAGATGCTCAAAATTACTAGTCATTAGGGAAATGCAAATTAAAACTATTTACAAAACTATCAAAATGGCTAAAATAAAAATAGTGACAACTCCAAATACTGGCAAGGTGTGGAGACACACTCATATATTGTTGGTGTGATTGTAAAATGATACAGTTGCTCTGGATAATAATTTGACAGTTCATTTAAACAGAAAACCTGCAACTGCCATGGAACCTAGATACCGCATCGTTTGGTGTAATGTTCATCATAATTACAAACTGTAAACAACCCAGATGTCCTTCAACAGAAAATGGTTGAACAAACTGTAGTGCATATATAGTATGGAATACTACTCAACAATAAAATGTAAGGAATTATTGATCCATGTAACAATTTAGTCGAATCTCCAGGAAATTATGCTTAATGGAAGAAACCAATCCCAAAAGGCTACATACTGTATGGTTCTAATTATATTCATTCTTGAAATGGCAAAATATTGAACTAGAAAATAGATTAGTGGTTGCCAGAGTTTAGGAAAGGGGGGCTGGGTGACAGAGAGGTGGTGTGGCAATAAAAGGGCAATGACAATAGAAAAGCAATAGTACAGCCACTATGGAGAGCAGTATGAAATTTCCTCATAAAACTAGAAATAGAATTATCATATGATCCAGCAATTGCACTACTGGGTATATATCTAAAAGAAAGGAAATCAGTATATCAAAAACACATCTGCACTCCCACATTTAGTGCAGCACTATTCACAACAGGCAAAATATGAAGTCAACCTAAGTACCCATGAACAAATGAAAGAATGAACAAATTGTTGTGTCATGATGTTATCAATGTCAACATCCAACTGTAATTTTGTACTATAGTTTTGTAAGATGTTACCACTGGAAAAAACTAGTAAAGGGTACACAGGACTTCTCTGGATCATTCCTTATACTGCATGCCAATCTACAATTATATTACCATCTTAAAAGTTTAATAAAATTTTTTTGAAAATTTACTGAATTTTTCAGATATAAATATAAAATTTTCATATGTATCAGCTGAAGCTGTTTTTCAGATAAACATGAAGGTATACATGTTTATCAAGTTTGAATATGAGAAACTAAGCAGTGTTCTATGGGAAAATTTTAAGTGGAAGATGTTCTGGGAATTCGTATTATAACTTTTTTTAACCAATACATATGCCTTCTACTTGTCTTTGTTTTTTTTTGTTTTGTTTTGTTTGTTTGTTTTTTTCTCCCTTTCTTATCTTACTTTAAGTATTTTCCTCATTAATTTCTTCCCTCTATTTCTGGAAGTTGTATACTCCGTCCATCCTTTTAGTGATTACCCTAATAAGTTTAATATGCATACTTAACTTTAAAAAACTATAATCAATATTTAATATCTTCCTAGAAAATAGGACTAAATTTTTTTTAAGAGAGGGTCTCACTCTGTACCCCAGGCGAGTGCAGTGGCACAACCATGGCTCACTGCAGCCTTGACCTCCTAGGCTCAGGTGATTCTTTCACTTCAGTTTCCCGAGTAGCTACAGGCACGTGCTATCATGCTGGTCTAATTTTTGTATCTTTTTGTAAAGAGAGTTTTGCCATATTGCCCAGGCTTGTCTCGAACTTCTGGACTCAAGTGATCAGCCCACCTCAGCCTCCCAAAGTGCTGGGATTACAGGGGTGAGCCACTGTGCCTGGCCTGTTAGAATACTTAACTATAATCACAGTATCTCAAATTACATGCTGTTTTCAAGAATTCTAACATATTTTTTCTTCCCATAATTGAGACATTATTTTTATCGTTTTATATAGTTACCATTGTCTAAATGTTTTTGTTTACCCCAAATTCATATGCTGATATCTAATCCCCAGTGCAATAGTATAAAGTGTTGAGGACTTTGGGAGGTGATTAACTCTGTCCTCATGAGTGGTATTAGTGCCCTTATAAAAGAAGCCGTCAGGAGCTAGTTTGCCCCTTCTACCACGTGAAGATGCAGCAAGAAAGGGCCATCTTTGAAGCATTCACCAGACGCTGAATCTGCGGGCACCTTGATTGTGGACTTCCCAGCCCCCAGAACTGTAAGCAATAAATTTCTGTTGTTTATAAATTACCCAGTCTAAGGTATTTTGTTACAGCAGCAGAATGGACCAGGACAATAGTCAATTTTTTAAAAAAGATTTGTTCAGATATTTACCAATATCTTTGCTCTCTTTTCCCTCCTGTATCCTCAACTCTCCATCTGAGATGATTTTTCTTCTGCCAGAGTATATCTTTAAAATTCTTTACGTGAGGTTCTTTTGGTGATAAAATGTTCCCATTTCTGTTTGTAGGAAAATGACATTTCATCCTCCCCCATTCTTGAATGGTAACTTTGCTGAGTGTAAAATTCTTGATTAAATGTTATTTTCTTTCAGCACATTGAAAGTATTATTCTAGTATCTTCTGTTTCAAGTATTTTTCATCAATAAATCATTTTACTTCAAAAATATTATTTCCATTTTTTATTTAAAATAAACATATTTTTTAAAATTATACTTTAAGCTCTAGGGTACATGTGCACAATGTGCAGGTTTGTTACATATGTATACATGTGCCATGTTGGTTTGCTGCACCCATTAACTCGTCATTTACATTAGGTATATCTCCTAATGCTTTCCCTCCCCGCTCCCCGCATCCCACAACAGGCCCCGGTGTGTGACGTTCCCTTTCCTGTGTCCAAGTGTTCTCACTGTTCAATTCCCACCTATGAGTGAGAACATGCGGTGTCTGGTTTTTTGTTTTTGCGATAGTCTGATGAGAATGTTGGTTTCCAGCTTCATCCACGTCCCTACAAAGGACATGAACTCATCCTTTCTTATGGCTGCATGGTATTCCATGGTGTATATGTGCCACATTTTCTTAATCCAGTCTATCACTGATGGACATTTGGGTTGGTTCCAAGTCTTTGCTATTGTGAATAGTGCCGCAATAAACATATGTGTGCATGTGCCTTTATAGCAGCATGATTTATAATCCTTTGGGTATATACCCAGTAATGGGATGGCTGGGTCAAATGGTATTTCTAGTTCTAGATCCTTGAGGAATCGACACACTGTCTTCCACAGTGGTTGAACTAGTTTACAGTCCCACCAACAGTGTAAAAGTGTTCCTATTTCTCCATGTCCTCTTCAGCACCTGTTGTTTCCTGACTTTTTAATGATCGCCATTCTAACTGGTGTGAGATGGTATCTCATTGTGGTTTTGATTTGCATTTCTCTGATGGCCAGTGATGACGAGCATTTTTTCATGTGTCTGTTGGCTGCATAAATGTCTTCTTTTGAGAAGTGTCTGTTCATATCCTTCGCCCACTTGTTGATGGGGTTGTTTTTTTCTTGCAAATTTGTTTGAGTGCTTTGTAGATTCTGGATATTAGCCCTTTGTCAGATGAGTAGATTGCAAAAATTTTCTCCCATTCTGTAGGCTGCCTATTCACTCTGATGGTAGTTTCTTTTGCTTTGCAGAAGCTCTTTAGTTTAATTAGATCCCATTTGTCAATTTTGCTTATGTTGCCATTGCTTTTGGTGTTTTAGACATGAAGTCTTTGCCCATGCCTATGTCCTGAATGGTATTGCCTAGGTTTTCTTCTAGGGTTTTTATGGTTTTAGGTCTTACATTTAAGTCTTTAATCCATCTTGAATTAATTTTTGTATAATGTGTAAGGAAGGGATCCAGTTTCAGCTTACTACATATGGCTAGCCAGTTTTCCCAGCACCATTTATTAAATAGGGAATCCTTTCCCCATTGCTTGTTTTTGTCAGGTTTGCCCAGGATCAGATAGTGGTAGATGTGTGGTATTATTTCTGAGGGCTGTGTTCTGTTCCAGTGGTCTATATCTCTGTTTTGGTACCAGTACCATGCTGTTTTGGTTACTGTAGCCTTGTAGTATAGTTTGAAGTCTGGTAGTGTGAGGCCTCCAGCTTAGGATTTGGCTGAGGATTGTCTTGGCAATGTGGGCTGTTTTTTGGTTCCATATGAACCTTAAAGTAGTTTTTTCCAATTCTGTGAAGAAAGTCATTGGTAGCTTGATGGGGATGGCATTAAATCTATAAATTACCTTGGGCAGTATGGCCATTTTCACGATATTGATTCTTCCTATCCATGAGCATGGAATGTTCTTCCATTTGTTTGTATCCTCTTTTATTTTGTTGAGCAGTAATTTGTAGTTCTCCTTGAAGAGGTCCTCCACATCCCTTGTAAGTTGGATTCCTAGGTATTTTATTCTCTTTGAAGCATTTGTGAATGGGAGTTCACTCATGATTTGGCTCTCTGTTTGTCTGTTATTGGTGTATAAGAATGCTTGTGATTTTTGCACATTGATTTTGTATCCTAAGACTTTGCTGAAGTTGCTTATTAGCTTAAGGAGATTTTAGGCTGAGACGATGGGGTTTTCTAAACATACAATCATGTCATGTGCAAACAGGGACAATTTGACTTCCTCTTTTCCTAATTGAATACCCTTTATTTCTTTCTCTTGCCTGATTGCCCTGGCCAGAATTTCCAACACTATGTTGAATAGCAGTGGTGAGAGAGGGCATCCCTGTCTTGTGCCAGTTTTCAAAGGGAATGCTTCCAGTTTTTGCCCATTCAGTATGATACTGGCTGTGGGTTTGTCATAAATAGCAATGCCTCACCCTGCTTCAGCTCACACTCAGTGGGCTGCAACCACTGTCCTGCCCCCACTGTCCGATGAGCCCCAGTGAGATGAACCCGGTACCTCAGTTGGAAATGCAGAAATCACCTGTCTTCTGCGTTACTCACGCTGGGAGCTGTAGACTGGAGCTGTTCCTATTGCCCAGAGTTCCTATTTTATGAGTTATAACAAATAAGTCCAGCTATCACAAATCTGTTATGAAGCTATGATATTTAGGAAAATATAAAAGTTGGGTGAGAGAAGGAGAAAGGTGTCAGCTCTCCTGTGTTGAGGTGGTCCTCACACCATCTGTGTCACTTGTCTTTTGAAACCCAGTATACCTCCTGTCATACTGGAGTCTGGAAGTTGGGCCTGAAACACTGCAGAAATGTTTCAAGAAAATGTACATTTTATGTATGTTGCATTTCCTGTCCTATAGCTATAAAAGGAACTCTGGTAAAATATACATAACATAACCTTTACCATTCTAACTAATTTTAAGTATACAATTCAGTGGCATTAAGTACATTCACATTATTGTGCAACCATCACCACTGTCCATCTCCAGAACTTTTTCATCATCCCAAACAAAAACTCTCCATTCTCTTCTCGCTATCCACTCATAAGCACTGTTCTATTTTCTTTATGCATTTGGTTATTCTAGATACTTCATGTAAGTGGAATCACACATTTGTCCTTATATAATCTGGCTTATTTCATTTAGCACAATGTTTTCAAGATTCATTTATGTTGTAGCAAGTGTTAGAATTAACAATAATTTTTAAGGCTGAATAATATTTCATTCCATGTATTTAACCCATTTTGTTTATGCATTCATCAATCAATGGACATCTGGGTTGCTTCCAACTTTTGGGTAAGGTGAATAATGATGTTATGAATATTGGCGTGCAAATATCTATTACAGTCCCTGCTTTCAATTCTTTAAGAGACAGTCTCACTCTGTTGCCCAGACTGGAATGCAGTGGCATGATCACAGCTCACTGTAACCTCGAATTCCGGGGCTCAAGTGATACTCCTCCCTCATCCTCCTGAGTAGCTAGGATTATAGGTGTGTGTCACCAGGACTGGCTAATTTTTTTAAACAAGTTTTGTAGAGACAGGGTCTATTTTGCTCAGGCTGGTCTCAAACTCTTGGCCTCAAGTGATCCTGTTGTCTCAGCCTCCCAAAGTGTTGGGATTACAGGTTTAAACCACCACACCCAGCCCCTGCTTTCAATTCTTTTGGATATGTAACTTGGAAGTGGAGTTCCTGGGTCATATAATTCTATGCTTAATTTCTTGAGGATATGCCATAGTTTCCCATAGCAGTTGCACAGTTTTACATCCTCACCAGCAATACACAATGTTTCTAAACATTCTGCCACCACTTATTTATTATTATTTTTTTGATAACAGCCAACGTAATGGGTGTGAAGTTGTATATCACTGTGGTTCTGATTTGCATTTCCCTAATGACTATTGATGCTGAGGATCTTTTCATGTTATCAGTCATTTGTGTATCTTCTTTGGAGAAATATCTATTTGAGTCTTCTGCCTGTTTTTAAATAGCATTTTCTTTATTGACTTGTAGGAATTAAAAAAAATATATATATATAGAATATTAATACCTTGCCAGATATGTGATTGTGAATATTTTCTTGATTCCATGGGTTGCCCTTTTACTTTGTTCAATGTACAAAGATTTTCAACATCGATAAAGTCCAAATTATCTAGTTTTTTGTTTGCTGCCTATGCTTTTGGTGTCATATCCAAGAAATGACTGCCAAATCTAATGTCATGAAGCTGTCCCCCTATGTTTTTTTCTAAGAGTTTTTTAGTTTCAGCTCTTGTGTACAGGTCTTTGATCCATTTTGAATTAATTTTTATATTCAGTAGGCAAAGGTCCAACTTCATTCTTTGGCAAGTGGATATCCAATTTTCCCAACACCATTCGTTGAAAAGACTATTCTCTCCCCCATTGAATTGACACCCTTGTTGAAAATTATTACATCCTATATGCAAGGGCTTATTTCTGGGCTCTTGTTTCTATTCCATTTTCTTGATTTTATTTTGGATAGTTTATTGTCATTGTATAAAAATAAGACTGATTTTTGCAGCCTGATTTTGTATTCTGCAACTTTGCTGAATTCATTTATTAGTTCTAATGGTTTTGTGTGTGGAATCTTGGGTTTTCTACATATATAATCATGTCAAAAAAAAAAAGATAGGTTTACTTCTTCCTTTCCAATTTGGATACCTTTCATTTCTGTTTATTGCCTAAGTGTTCTGGCTAGAAGTTCCAATACTATGTTGAATGGAAGTGGAAAAAGTGGGCATCCCCATCTTGTTCCTGATTTTAAAGGAAAAGCTTTCAGTCTTTCACCGCTGAATATGATGTGAGCTGTGGGTTTTTTACATAAGGCCTTTTTCACATTAAGGTAGTTTCCTTCTTTTCCTAGTTTGTTGAGTGTTTTTAACATGAAACTTGAATTTTTCCAAATTTTTTTTCAGCACCCATTGATGCTGAAAACCCATCATCAAATGATCACATGGGTTTTTTTTTCCCTCCATTCTGCTACTGTGGTATATTACAATGATTTATTTTCATATGTTGAACCATCCTTGTATTCTAGGGTCACCTTGTATAATTCTTTTTAATATGTTGCTGCAATCAGTTTGCTGGGGGTTTTTTTTGAGCATTTTTCCATCAACATTCATTAAGGGATATTGGCCTGCAGTTTTGTTTTGTTTTTCCTGTCTTTGGTATGAGACCAATGCTGCCATTCATAAAATGAGTTAGGAAGTGTTGTCTTCTCTTCAATTTTTTGGAAAAGATTTTGGAAACAACCAGTGTCAGTTGTTCTTGAAATACTTGGTAGAATTCATCAGTGAAGCCAACTGGTCCTGGTATTTTGTAAATAGAAAGATAGAAAGGTTTTTTTTTTTTTTTTTTTTTGAGACAGGGTCTCACTCTGTTGCCCAGGCTGGAGCGCAGTGCGCATGATCAGGGCTCACTGTGTGGCCTCTACCTCCTGGGCTCAAGTGATCCTCCTGCCTCAGACCCCTGAGTAGCTGGGACTACAGGTGTGTGCCACTACACCTGGCTAATTTTTTGAATTTTTAGTAGAGATAGGGTTTTGCCATGTTGCCCAGGCTGGTTTTGCTGTGCTCAAGTGATCCATCCACCTTGGCCTCCCAAAGTGTTGGGATTACAGGTGTGAGCCACCGTACCCAGCTGAGAGGTTGTTAATTTCTGAGTCATTCTCCTTCCTAGGTATAGGTCTATTCAGATTTTCTATTTCTTTGTGATTCAGTCTCAGTAGGTTTTGTGTTTCTAGGAGTTTGTCCACTTCGTCTGGGTTATTCAACTTGTTGGCATGTAATTGTTACGCTGTACTCTTCTAGTCCTTTTTATTTCTGTGGAATTGGTACTAATGACTCCATTTTCATTACTGATTTTAGTAATTTGAGTTTCTTTTTTTTTCTTAGTCTATCTAGCTAAAATTTTGTGATTTTGTTGATCTTTTTGAAGAACCAACTTTAGCTTAGTTGATTTTCTCTATTGTTTTTTGATTTTCTAGTTCATTTATCTCTGCTCTAATTTTTATTATTTCCTTCTTTCTGCTAGCTTTGGGTTTAGGTTGTTATTCTTTTTCTAGTTTCTTAACTTATAGTTATACATGAGACTGCTGTTTTTGAGGTTTTCAAAAATGTAATTATTTTTTAAATGCTTACAGCAATATCAGTGCTGCTTTTTCTGCATGCTATGAAGTTTTGGTATGTTGCATTTTTGTTTTAATTCACTTTTAAATATTTTCTAATTTCCCTTATGATTTCTTCTTTAACTTATTGGCTATTTGAGTGTGTTTAATTTTCACATATTTGTAAATTTTCCGGTTTTCCTTCTGTCACTGATTTCGAACTTCATCCTCTTTTTGGAGAATATGCTTTGAAGAATATACTATTTTGCAATATACTTTTTATGGCATCTATTTTAAAAAACCTATTGAAACTTATTTTGTAGCCTAATGTGCTCTATCTTGGAGAATGTCCCATGTGTACTTCAGAAGGTGTATGCTACTGTTGTTGGGTGAAGTGTTTTATATATGTGGGTTGTATCTAGTTGGTTTATTGTGTTGTTTAAGTTCTTACATTTCTTTACTTACCTTTTGTGTGGCTGTTCTATCCATTATTGAATGTGGCATATTGAATTCCTCAACTATTCTTGCATAGCTGTCTATTTTCCTCTTCAATTCTGTCCATTTTTGCTTCATCTATTTTGACAGTCTATTATTAAGTGCATAAATGTTTATAAGTATAATATTACTGTGCAGAATTAAACCTTCTAGTAACATATATCCTTTGTCTCTTGTAAACTTTTTGGATTTAAGATATTTAAACATTTTTGATTTAAAATTTATTTGATATTATTATAGCCACCATGGTTCGCTTTTGGTTACTATTTGCCTGACTATCTTTTTCTATCCTTTCACTTTCAACTTATTTATGTCTTTGGATCTAAAATGAGTCTCATGTAGACAGCATATAGCTGGATCATGCTTTCCTATCCAGTCCATTAATCTCTGTCTCTTGATTGGAAAGTTTAATCCATTTACACTTAAAGTAATTAGTGACAAAAAGGGAATTCTACCATTTTGTTAAGGGTTTTCCATATGCCTTATAGCTTTTTAACTCCTTATTTCCTACATTACTATCTTCATTTGTTCTTAATTTTTTTTAGTGAAATATTTTAATTCTTTTCTCATTTTTTTAATGTACATCCTGTACCTATTTTCCTTGTGGCCACTATGAAGATTACATTTAACATCCTAAAGTAATAATTTGAATTTATACCAGCTTATCTTCAACAGCATACAAAACCTCTGCTCTTATACTACTCTGTCCCTCACCCCTTTTAGTTATTGATGTCTTAAATTACATCTTTACATACTGTATGCCCCAAATCATAGACTGATTTTTTAAATGCATGTCTGAGGACAAGTTAAATGTAATTCTTATCTTTCTTCCTCTATAGATAGGGAGTTTTTTTCCCCTCTGGACTCTGTCATGATTTTTTATTTTCGATTTTCTCTAGTTTGAAGATGGTATGTCTAGGTATAGTTGTTTTTGTGACATCTGACATTAATTTGGGGAAATTCTCGGTCATTGTTTCAAATATTTCTTCTGTTTTTCTCGTTCTTCTCTTTTGGGTATTCGCATTATGTAGATGTTCTACGTTTTAGAGTTGTCTCAAAATTCTTTGATATTCTGTTCTGTTTTTTCGTTTCTCAGAACTTGTTCTCTTTGCTTTTCAGTTTTGGAGGTATGCAGTGAGAGATCCTCATGCTCAAGAGTTTTTTATTTCCTCAGCTGTGTCCATTCTACTAATAAGCCCATCAAAGGCACTGTTTATGTCTGTTATAGTGTTTTTGATCTCTAGCATTTATTTTTGGTTCTTAGGAGTTTCATGTCTTTGATTACATTATCCATCTGTTCTTGCATGGTATCTGTTTCATCCATTGGAGCACTTAGCATGTTAATCACAATGATTTTTAAATTCCCAGACTGATAATTCCAACATTCCTGCCATGTCTACTTCTGATGCTTGCTTTGTCTCTTCAAATTGTATTTTTTTGCCATTTGATATGCCTTGTAATTTTTCTTCATAGCCAAACATGATATACCAGGTAAAAGGAACTGCTGTAGACAGGCCTCTAGTAATGTGGTGGGGATGTGTGGGGGTGGGGAAGTATTCTATAGTCCTATCATTAGGTCTTGGTCTTTTTATTTTTTGAGATGGAGTCTCGCTCTGTCGCCAGGCTGGAGTGCAGTGGCACGATCTCAGCTCACTGCAACCTCCACCTCCTAGGTTCAAGCGATTCTCCTGCCTCAGCTGGGACTATAGGCACGTGGCACCATGCCCAGCTAATTTTTTGTATTTTCAGTAGATGAGGTTTCACTGTGTTAGCCAGGATGGTCTCAATCTCCTGACTTCATGATCCACCTGCCTTGGCCTCCCAAAGCACTGGGATTATAGGTGTGAGCCACCATGCCTGGCCAGGTCTCAGTCTTTTAGTGAGGCTTTTAGTGAACTTCACGAGTTTTTCTCAATTTTTCCTCCCCTGTTACATGGGAGAAGATGGCTACAGTGAGCTGAAGTTGGGTATTTCCCTTCCCCTAGGTAAGTTAGTATTTGATTATACTCCAGCAGGGTAGGTTCAGGTTAAGTAGTTTCTCCTCGGGTTAGGGCTCATTAAGAAGAACAGAGTACCCTGGTGTATTTCACAATAGTTCCCTTTCCTCTTCCCTGCTGAAACATGAGGGAATTTTCCTCTAATATTTACTGTGAGAACCTGGTTGTTCCGAAGGACTTGTTCCAGAGATCCCTTAGGTTCCATTCAGTTTTCACAAAATTGTAGCGACTGAGTTTCCCTGAAGTTTTTAACTCTCATAGTTGTCTGCACTGAACCTCTAGCAATTTGTCAATTACAGTTTAGGTTTGCCTACCTGACAGTTTCCCACGCTTATTAGTGTTCATGAGTCTTTGCTCTGGTAAGCCCCTTTCTCCCTCACTCATCCATCTTGAATCCCCATAATGTGTATGCTGGTCTGCTTAATGTTGTTCCATAGGTCCCTTAGGCTCTGTTCAGTTTTCTTCCATCTTTTTTGTTTCTGTTCCTCAGATTTGTTAATTTCAATTGTTTTGCCTTTAAGTTTGCTGATTCTTTTTTCTGCCTGCTGAAAACTGCTTTTGAATCCCACTAATGATTTTTTTTCAGCGATTGTACTTGTCAACTCATTTCTTCATTATTCTTTTTTTTTTCTTCTTTATTTTTTTAAAGGATACATGTTTTTCATCCATAATTCACTGGAACTGCTGCAGGATGCTCATCATGACTTAGAACTCCTGAGTACATTGTCATGATGAACATGTGCAGAGAGATTTACTAGCCTACAATATGAATCTTCACACTCATGGGGGAAAAGTATTTTCTAGTCTGGACTGAATATATTTGCAAGTGTTTTTATAGCTGTTCTCTGTAAATAATCTCAGGGTGGCCTGTTGCTGTCTAATGCTACAAAAAGGGAGGGCTGTTAATAGTGGCCACTTCCTCCTGCATACAGTGGAGAGAAGCCTGATTATGGACAGTCCCATCATGGCCTTAAAAGATGATATTAAACTGATAGGTCATTTTAGCTGCCTGATTGATTCTTTTTTTATGTTTTTAAAATATATTTATTGATATTTACTTTTGCTTACACATCATTATCTTGGCATTATCAATATATTCCTTTAGTTCTTTGAGAATCTTTAAGATAGTTGTTTTAAAGCCTTTGTCTAGTAAGTTCTCCATTTCATCTTCCTCATGGATTTTTGTCAATTTATTGTTTTCATTTGAATGGATCATACTTTTTCTTTGCTTTGTCATTTTATTTTTGTTGAACTCTGAATATTTGAATCTTATAATATGGTAATTCTAGAAATCAGCTTCTCTCCCTTCCCTAGGGTTTGCTTTTTTTTTTTTTTAAATTGTTATAAAGTGTTCTGTGTAAGAAATAAGCCTGAGGTATAAACTTAAGGCCTTTCTCTTTTTCTCAGCCTGCCTTTTCCTCTGGGCATGCATAGTGACTTTCTAAATTCCCCCATATATGTAGCTGCCTTTGAATTTTCTAATCCTGTAATTTCTGGGTCCCAAAAGAGAAGAAGAAAAATGTAGGGGAAAATGTAGGTACTGTCCTTATAAATCCCTTGAAGATACTTCAGCCAGTGTGGGTTGAAACAATGGCAGCCTGTCTTTGCCTCTGCACTTCTACAACCTAAAGCAGTAATCCACAATAGAACCTGGATCCCCAATATTTGGAAGATAAGGTCCTTAATTACCCATTCTGTCTTCTACAAGCTGTCCTATAAACCCTAGTACCTGCTAGCTGGAGCACTGGAGAATGGTTGGCTAGTAGCACACTAGGTTAAAATTGACCCAAATTAACCAAAATCTACTAGTCAAGTCTTTTCCAGTAAGCCATAAGCCTTTGAATAGACTACAAAGTTCCAAAATAGTTATATCAGAGAGATCCTGCCAGTTCAAACGGTTGTCCAGGTGGAGAAACAGATTCCTATATATACTACTCTGCCATCTTATGCTCCCCTACAGACTTTTATAAGCTAAGTATATTTGGTGTGGGTTAAAAAAACAGAAACTCTTTAAGATGATAGTACTGTTACTTTAAATGACTCATGTTACTTTAATATTATCTAAATAATACTAAGAATAATTTGATTCATTTCTATAAAAAATAAGTTTTGTGTTGTTATTTCCTGAAATTTTTCTTTTAACCAATATCAGTTATAAAACCATTTTTGGCAGCAAATGGAAAATATTATCTCCTCCCTAAAAGCAGTGCATGTGTTTATTACAGTTACAGAATTGAAAGATGAGTCACTGAAGATTACAATGGTAAATCTCTTCATACTAAAATGGAAAACTGGCAATCAATTTCTCTTTTTATGAATTAGATATTTCTTATTTTATATATATATATATATATACACACACACATACACACACACACACATATGTGTGAGTAAATCTTTAAAGGACCTCATAACATTTCTATCAGCTATGTAATATCCCTATAAAACTAAGTAGAGATCATAAATCAAATTAATGACAAAACTGAGAATAAAATCCATGACAAATCATTCTTCAGTGTATAACCACAGTGGTTAGTCTGTTGTTTTTAATGAAATTTAGGGGGAAAAAAGAGTATTTGATCTTTTAAAAAAAAACAAGTAGGGAATAAATTATAAATTTAGGGAGGTTAAATGCTACTATTTTGTGGGCAGTTTAGTTAACCACTGGAACAAGATGTGCTAAACCTTGTAAAGTACCAAGGTAACACTGCTAGTAAATGCTAGTAAATATGA